>NC_000012.12:116854067-117005582 GCF_000001405.40 Homo sapiens | reverse complement strand
TCTTCCCCAGATCTGTGGTTCTCAGATACTGGAGGGGAGGAGGCGGTGACTCCAGCAGGTCAGGGGAGGCTCTGCAGCACTATTACCAAGCACCACACCGCATCACACTACACGTTGTAACACTCTCCTAGGTTTCAACTCTAAGGTTCCTAACTCTAAGGTTCCTGGGGACAGAGATCCTATCATTCATTCATTCATGTGGCAATTATTAAAGGGCAGTACATGCCAGGTACAGTGTCAGTTACACATTCCCGCATCTCACTAAGTGCCTGCATTTGTGTTTGGAGGCTCACTGATTGGTACACGATGCCAGGCAAATCCAGAGCTTCCTATAGTCTCAGACCCCAAAGATACTCAGATGTTGCTTTTAGTGCTTTAACACCTTCCTCCACTCCTGGATCTTGCTGCTGGTATGTACAAAGGAACTGCTCCATCCTACCCAAAACAGAAGATGGTTCCACAGAGATCTCTTCATACTATTCAGATGCCAGAGTGCCCCAACTACATCCAGTCCGACAGTCCCACCTCTGACAACATGGCAGACAAGAATGTCTGGAAAACCTTGCCATTTACAAACAGTGACCATGCTGGATAAGACTCAGCCTATCATCAAACAGTCCTTCAGACATTCTGTTTAATAAGCAATCAGAGAAATTCACAGGAGCCCAAAATGGAGACAGCATGAAACCCAGATGAAGAGAGCACGAAACCCAGGAAGTTAAGAGAGCATTCAAGCCAGGGGCTAGTTTGGACCCTCCCTCCAGTGTCAGGAGCCTGGAGAGCTGGGGAAACAGGAGAGCTGGGGAAACAGGAGACCAAGCATCTGCCCAGCATGAAGTAGAACCTACAGTTGGGTCCCTGCAGGGCTACATACATTCAGTAAAAAGCAAGCAAGATGGGGAAAGTATCTATTGGTGCAGAGAGCTTACCCAGAAACGTGTCTGCCTCAGGTTCAGTTCGGGGTGGAAAACAGTCTGAAGTCACATGTCTGCCCCCACACAAGTTCTGGGTTTGAGTTTACACCACCTGCAAGGCTAAAAGAATCCAAGCCTAATAAAGTATTTTCGGGTTGGTAACATACCTCCCAGTACCTTGGCAGAATCTTCTCAGGAGGGAAACAATTTCAACTCAGGCCCCTTTAAGAAACCTACAAATCAAGATCAACTGAGTATTAGCTCACAATTTAAAAAATCCAAATACAGCAAGAAGTGATATATCATATGTGAGACAGAAAAACAAGGAGAATTAGACTTCCAGGCAAGATCAAATAAAGAATACAAAATAAGCATGCTGAAAATGTTTACAGATAAAAGAGGGAGAGGATAAAAAGTAGGAAATCGGATTAAGCAGATTTGAAAAATAAAGCAGAGAATTTCTAGAAATTAAAAAGTCAATGGATGAGATAAGCAAGAAATAAGTCCGAGAGAGAAACTGTGGACTGGAATACCGAGTTGAGGAATTGGGCGGAATGCAACAGACAGAGAGATGGGAAATCTGAATGGGCAGTGAGCAGCACGGAGGAGGGGAGAAGCTGCCTTCATGCACACCTCCCCTGAGCTCCACGCAGAGCATCGCGATACATTTCCAGTAAGATAAGGGCCAAGAATTCTCTACAACTGAAAGGAGGGACACACAAGAAATCCCAGACAGTATAAAAATAAATAAATAAATCCCAGACATACAAAGAGACATTGGCATGAAACCACAGAAAATTAAAGACAAGGAGAAGATCTTAAAAGCAGTCAAAAGGAGAGAAAGTCCTAAAAGAGAATGACAGACTGACAGCCAACTCGTCAGTAGTGTCAGTGGAAGGCAAAACCAGTCATATCCTCAAAGGCTGAGCAAAAATAACTGTCAAGCTAGAACTGTAAAAGACTAGCAAAACTACCTTTCAAGGATAAGGATGAAATGAAGGTGCTGTAAGAAAGAAACACGGAAAACACTTGTGACCAAGTCCTTATGAAAGAAACTTCTAAAGAATGCACTTTTGGGAGACAGAAAATCATTCCAGAAAAAAGGTCTGAGGTGCTGGAAGAAATAGTCAACAAAGATTCAAGTAATGAGCATAAAAGAATCCAGATGCTGTCTGCAAAAACAATGTTGATTTGGGGGTTAAATACATAGAATAATCTGTACCTAGTCTTTATTCCAACCAGTCAAATGCCATGAATCAGGAAAAAGTACCATAACCATGGAAGATGCCAGATGCCCAGGGTGCGCCCCCCGCACTGTCTGGAAGGAACAGAAGCTCCTTTGGATACCTGTGCAGTGTTTGGCACATAGGAGGGGCTCAGTATACAGGTGATGAAAGAATGAGCAGATGAATACACACTGTACATGTCTGCGTGTATCTACCCCTTACAGGCGACTGCTATGCTGGCCTTACAGTAAAGACAGGCTTCACGCATACAAATGAACACACAAAGTCGATTTGCTGTCCACCAACTGCAATGTATACAGCTGTTTGCTAAGTGCCAGGTACACTTTTATTCAGTACAGATCTTCACATACAAGACTAGTGATGCTCCTTTTTAAAAAACAAAAGATACAAAAGAAAAAGTCCTATACATCTTCATGGTAGAATTTACTCACATAAACGACCCACATTGCTATTCTGACCCAACAAAAGTAAGATCCACAGAAACGTGGAATTGAACTACAAAAATGCAAGGTGTGCCTATCAACGTTCATGCACAAAGCTAGGTGAACAGTCTCTATAAATTCACAGATGAGCTAAGACTTTAAAAAAACAGGAATGAGAAAGATAGACAACTGGGGAGAGGGGGAGCCAGTGACAAAAGAGTAAATCATACACAAAACAGCCAATAAAAAAATAAAAATGCAGTTAATATACATGAATAATGGATGTCTGATTTAAAAGCAGTTTACTCCGATATGATGTAATTTTTGACAATCAGCCAGAGAGACTATTTTGTAAGTCCTTGCCAGAGATAAGTCATAGCGTGAGGCTTGGTAACACGGCCGTATCTGTGAACATGTGGAAAATGACTTTCACCACCATCCCAAAGGTGACTTTCTGTTGGCAAACAGAAGCTTGCCTTTCAGGTGCACTTCGCAGCAGCAACCGGCAAGATGCAAATCTTGAAGAAATGGATCCCTGACCCCCTCAACGTTCCCTGCAACATGGCACCCCTTAACAGTCTCCACGACATGCTTCTGGCACCGTCCATGCTCAAATTCAGCACAAAGGGAGAAGCAGCCTGAGCCGCTTTCATGTTTAAGTTTTAATTGGAGTGACAAGCCCACGAGGCCAAGATATTTCAGGGATGGGACGGTGTTGCTGAGCGTCGCCAGGCGCTGGGTAGGCAAGGCCTGTGTGCGCTCCCCACCACCACGTGCCAATGCACCTGCAACCCCCGCTGTTCCAGGACTGGACTCTTCCCGGGCAGGCAGTGCCAACTGCTGCGGGCTGTGCCAAACATGGGGGCTTTGTGATGTGGGCAGATGTCTACAAAGGACCGGAGTGAGGCCAAACCAACACCTATTGTGACCTAAGCCTGAAAGGAACCCACAGAGCAAGAGTACACTCGGGTACAAATCCAGGCAAAAACCATCCAAACCGGCCAATCTCTCTCTCTCAGCACGTCCGTAGGTGCTGGGAATAATAAAGGAAGGCCAGGCCTACTTTGTGGAGTGAGCAGAATATGGTTCTCTCTTTGCTTTGGGATCATTTTTGTCTCAGTGCTGGTGTAAGGGTAAGAAATGTGATCATGAAGACCTGGTTAATGCTCACATAACACAAACAGGGAATATTCATGTCAGAGCAGTGAGTCCAGCGAAGAGATGATAACCATCGTGCAAATGTATGACTGACTGGGAGCTGAAAATCCTTACACCCTCCTTCATGCTCCCAACAGGCCTCATCCCCACAGAGAGCATGGGCAGTGTCAAAATGCCAGGAACACTGACACACGGAAATAATCACCAAGAGAAGGTTATAATATCTATCTTACGGAGTGAAAACTGAGGCTGCAAACTATGAAGTGAACTCTTTAAAATTAAAGGCAACTTGCATACTATTTTGAAAATGAAAAGGTTACCATGAGATGCTCATAATGTACAAGTATCTGTATGCCGACAGGACTTAGTGAACATTGCACATGAAATTCAGTATATTACACTAGCTTGGTTATCGATTTTCTTTTGACTAGCCTGGCAACTTCTAGTTTGGCCCAAAGTTAGACTGGACAAAAGCTTCTAGAAGAGGGCAGGCAGGCAGCTAAAATCAGATCACTGAAACAAATAGCCCCAGGGGGAGACTGGGAAGCCGCAGCGAATAATCAGGGCCTTTGGTGGAGGGCAGCAGGTCCACCCAGGGGCTCCCCCCAGCTCCCTAAGGCATAACGGCCTCTACTCACTCTACATGGTGCATGAGGTATTGGCAGAGACATGCTTAGCAGCATTTTGCACATAAACAAACACTACACATATGAGCTCTTTGTAATACCCAGGACATGCCTTTCACACAAATTCCTTCGGAATATCCTTCCATTTGAATCTCACAACCACCAAGAGGGAGAGAAGACAAATACTACTGCCTACATTTTGTGCATCAAGAAACTGAGGCTTAAATAATTTTAAGTAGCTTGCCCCAAATTACATGGGCAACAAAAGGAGCTGAGGTGGCACTAGGTGGAGCGCAGCTCGTGTCATTCCTGCGCCACTTTGTGACCATATCACAATGTCTTTCCTGTCCTACCAAAATAGTTATTAATAACAGCTAATATTTATAATATTCTCTTACATGCAAAACACTGCTATGATGCGTTATCTCACCTGACCTCCACAGTGCTGTAAGATAGGTACCATGATTTTACTCCCTTTACACAGGAGAATATGGGGCCCTAAGGAGCTCAAACCTCTTGCCCAGTTAGGAAGTTTTGGCACCAGGATTCAAACCTGGGTGGGTGGTATCAAAGCTCATACTCTTTAAACCTCTACCCCAGGGTGCTCAAAGTGTGGTCCCAGGACTAGCAGCCTCCGCTGCTCTGGGCACTTGTTAGACATGCAAATTCTCAGGCCCCACCCTCGACCCACTGAGTCGGAAGCTCCGGGGGTGGGGCCAGTGCTCAGTGTTTTCATCAGGTCTCCTGTAGATTCTGATGCATGCTGGCATGTGAGAACCCCTGTGCTCTACCTATACTGCCTTTCAGGCTAACGAAGAACTTCAGCCATGACAGTGGTAAGTATTACTCAGCTATCAGTGCTTACTTCCTGCTTCCAAATTGCTGCCAATCTGGGGAGGCAATAGTGCTGGGCGGTGCCGGTATGAAAATATGAGATGCAGGCTGGGTGCGGTGGCTCACGCCTGTAATCCCAGCACTTTGGGAGGCCGAGGTGGGCGGATCATGAGGTCAGGAGATAGAGACCATCCTGGCTAACACGGTGAAACCACGTCTCTACTAAAAATACAAAAGGCAGGCGTGGTGGCGGGCGCCTGTAGTCCCAGCTACTCGGGAGGCTGAGGCAGGAGAATGGCGAGAACCCGGGAGGCGGAGCTTGCAGTGAGCAGAGATCGCGCCACTGCGCTCCAGCCTGGGAGACAGCGAGACTCCGTCTCAAAAAAAAAAAAAAAAAAAATGAGATGCAGACCCTGTGTTCTGTACAAGCTCAGGGCCAGAGCTCTGATGCTCAATGAGAGGCAGATAGTTTGTAAGGCTGCTTCTGTTAAGTAGGACTGTTTTTCAAAAGGACATGGCAAGACAGGAGAGGAAGAGGGGATGCTAGTGCCAGTCCCCGGTCAGGAATGAATGTGGCACATTGAGGATGGCGCTGGCCTGGCTGGAGCAGGGGTCTCATTCTGGAAGCACAGGACTAGAGAGCTAGGAGCTAAGATGGGGCCTGACTCCCCACAGTCTAGAAGGCCAGGCTGAAGATGGGCACCGGGGCCTTACCCATGCTCCTCGCCACGCAGCCAGTGCTCTGAGAAAACCTGAAGTGGACCGTGAGGAGGGGCACTGACAGGTGGACAGGTGCCACAAGAGTATAAAGGTGGGGAAAGGGCAGGGGCGAGCCAGGAAGGGGAAATGCGCTCGGGGAGGGATTATTTTCATGTCATTTTCAACATACTTTTAAAACTTGTGATCATGAGATCACAGTAAGAGTTCAAACCCAAGCAAACAGCAGAGTGCAAAGAAGCCACCCGGGCCAGATGGCCTAACCCTGCAAAGACCCAAAGAAATCTGGATGAGGAATTCAGTTTGGGGCCAGTCGGTCATCCCACGTCCCTGGCACAGTTCTCCTGCAGCAGAGGCAAGCTAAGGCTGGAAGCCAGGTCCAGCAGAGCAGCTCTCTGGACACAGCCCACTTCCTCATTTTAATGCACCTTCAGCCTCATGGCTCTTCCTGAGTCCCTTAGTTTGGGATGCGACCGCTCAGATGTGGGCTGAGCAGGAGTTTTCCTTTGCTCTCTACAAAGGGGATTTACCCTGTAAATTAATAACACATCGAGGGAATGCTTTAAAGAGTAACTTTGCGTCCATTAGAAGGATTCATCTGCAACTCAGTAATTGATAAGTTAATTACAAACCCACTCTCTAACACAGTGCCCTATAGAAGACTGAAGTGCGGAGGAAATTAATAAATCATAGTCATCTATGTACTGAATAAAAAGTGAAAGTTCTCTACTTGGTAATATTTTGTGAGTCTAAGCTGCGATGTGTATTTTGAAAACAGTAAAATGTTTTAAATATTCAGAAATTCAACTCACATAGGCCATTTGCTGAGTGCCCTCTTGCTCCTACTCTGCCCCAAACCAGCATCAGTCTCAACTGTCTGGACATGCAGGGGAAGCACACAGCCTCTTCTGCAGCACTAGTGTTTTCGTGTTTTCACCTCTGGAACAAAGGCAAACATTTCTAATAGGGCTCCCTTAGCTCCCCATGAACTGGAGAACGAGCTGATTTTTAACACTAACAATGCCTGGGCAGTGTTTACTCCCAGGCTTATTTGGCACAAACAAACCAAAGCCATACACATCTGTGAAGGTGAAATAAATGGAGTTAGCGCTAAGTTCATTCTCTTCCATGGTATAGGATGGTAAACCAGGAAGGCAATTCCACATAAACCATCAGGGAAGAAAAACCAGCCTCTAAATAACATTCTAAGCTTAATTTGAAAGCCAAAAGACAAGAAAGGCAATGAACATGATATTCTTCAATCTAAATGGTTCTGTAAACTTAGAGTCTCAAGAAGACTGAATAATTCCTTTAAAAATTAGAAAATGGTACAGATGTTATTGGCATACAGGAACTAGGCAAGTGTGAATAAAGACAAAAGACATTTAAGACTTGGTGCCAGCCCTCTCCAATAAGGCTTCGCATCTTGAAGGGTTTCATATGAAGTGACAGCATTCACATTAGCTTATTCCATTAGTTCTGCATGGAAGCTAAATTGACCTGTCCCATTCTACCATAAATGCATTCTTTTAAAACAATTCTTGGGGGCCAGGCGCGGTGGCTCACACCTGTAATCCCAGCACTTTGGGAGGCTAAGGAAGGCGGATCACCTGAAGTCAGGAGTTCAAGACCAGCCTGGCCAACATGTAGTGAAACCCTGTCTCTACTAAAAAATATAAAAATTAGCTAGGCATGGTGGCACACGCCTGTAGTCCCAGCTACTGGGGAAGCTGAGGCAGGAGAATTGCTTGAACCCGAGAGGCAGAGGTTGTAGTGAGCTGAGATGGCGCCACTGCACTCTGGCCTGGGTGATAGAATGAGATTCCATCTCTCAAAAAAACAAAACAACAACAACAAAAACAATTCTTGGGAAAGTGAATCCTGTGAAGCAGCATGGGCCGCTATACCTACAGGTATGGTTTCAGCAGGGCTCCTGCAGCAGCCCAGGGCTGCTGGTGCTCCTGCAGGCCTGAATATACCTGGTGCTGCTTCCAGCCGATGGAACCCCCTTCCACAGGCCCTGCTGCCTCTGCTTGGACTGCTCTCTCCCAGGCTTTGCCTGATGAACTCCAACCTGACCCCAAAGCTGGGGGACCGGGGGTGAAGGAGGCACCTAACAAGTGCTGAGCACCAGCCACATACAAAGGACATTACCTTTCTCGGGTATTAGCTCCAGTATCCACATGGGGATGCCAAAGCAAGTGACTTGCCTAAGGTTTACCTGACTGCAGAACCCTTGCTCAGTCTCCAGTGGTGACACAACTGCTATCTTGACTATAGCTGAAAGGAACTTTCCCCTATATTTACATTCTGTAACTTTATCACTCCCTTCCAGGATCCCTAGAGATCCTAAAGATCATGGCTTCTGTAATAAGATGCAATATTCCAAACGACACTTTTCACAGAATAACCCATCAGTTGTACAGAGTATCAGAGATGGTCCAGTCCTCAAAAGCATCTAAGCCAGAGGTTTCTCGCTCTGTCTTGAGAAACTCTAGGGCTCTGTGGAGGTGCTACAGGGTTTTCACAAGTGAGAAGAACTGTATTTATTATTTATTATTAACCATATACTAACAATTATATCAACTATGGATACTATTTTAATATTAAACATGTACAAAATGCATTTGAATGTTCATTCCTCATTTATTTATCTACATGATTTTCTATCAGTCTGGAATTCACCAAGTTCATCACGAAGGTCTTGTTATGACCTCGTTTCCATCTCAACACGCCTCCTTTACATCGCCAAGTCGCTGTTAAGGACCACAAGGCTGTAATCCCTGAGGCAGATGTGATATTTGACTCATCTCTATGTTTCCAGTGCCAATCAGATATTGCACACGCAGCATGTGTTCAATAAGCATTCATTAACAATGACGGCAACCCTCACAACAACAATGGACCCTTTGGGAGTCAGCATCACTCAACAGCCCAGAAAACTGGTCTCCACGAGTTATCTGTCTACACTTCTCCAGGAAGCAGATAAATATTAAAAACATTAAAGGTTTAAGGTAAAAATGAAAATGAAATTAGACATTTACTTTGTGAACTTTCAATTTTTTTCATTTAAAATTTTTAAATGGAAAGTTCACAAAGCAAATATCTAATTTCATTTTCATCCTGCTTGTAAAATACCAAGTTTTTTTTTTGTTCTCTGGACTAGAATATGGAACAAAAGGAAAGATGGATTTCCTGTTCGGGTGGAGGTATGGGAGAATGTGGCCACAATCTATGCGCACTGCATTTCTGATTCCTAAGGCTCTCCCAGACAGATATTTCAACTCGTGATGAGTGTGAGCAACCAATCCAGAGTCTCTTCACGTCCGTGTATGGGGAATAATTATCATAAGAGACGTTAGCAATGATTTTCCAGCGTGATGTAAGCTGAGGCAGCAGCGCCAAGCAAGCGTCCTTGTCACACGCATTCCAGCCTCCTGGATTACTTCACTCACAGCTCCCTGATTAGGATGCACGCCGTGTGCCGCTTAATACAATCTGCCATCAAATGCCAAGTACTTCAGACCTAAATTAGGAAATATGTCCAAATACATAGAATGATGCTAAGAGCCCTAAGTGGATCTCTCTCTTCCTTTATGAGGCCTGGGGCTCGTCATCAACCTAATGCTCTTAAACAAGGCAATTCGGTCTTCTAACCCTCCACCTCTGAGAGCAGAATTTAATTCAGGCAGCAAAAGAATTAATAAAGATTATATGGTATCATAAATATGTGTCCATGGATGAAAGTATTTTTGATAGATTTCAGGAACTATGAGACATAAAAGCAGATTTTAAAGGGCTGCTTGGGCACGAAGGCTACATTAACAGCGTTCACACTGACTTTTGCACCACAGCATGACAAGAGATGAGGCCAGAGGAATTACTTTTACCTTTGTTTTCTTTTACAATCATATACCACTTAGCAGTGACTACCTGTGAGGTCCTGTATGTCACTGAAGTCTGAGAACCCAAGAATGCAACATCAGAACCTAAGAATCCAATTTAATTTAAGAATTCATTTTTGTCCAAAAGTAAAAAACCATCAAGCAGCCCTTCTTCCTACATACAGCTTACAAGGCAAGACGTAGGAACTGAGGAAAAAAATACCAAACATTTCCTGCCCAATACTTTCTGCCAGCAATAGGCACAGCTGTTAGGAACTCTTGGGCGACACTTAGAGAAGAAGTGATAGAATAATGGATTCCTCGGCCCATTTCAGAAGCCCTCAGCAACTCAGCATCCTCCAGTGGACTGGCTCAACACAACTCCACAGCCAAAAGGTTTAAACCACCTACATGGCTTAAAGAATCCAGGGTTTGGGACAGGAGCCCAAAGGTCATGTGTTCAACCCTCCTCATTTTACAGAAGAGAAGAGGCAGGTCAGATTAAAAGAATTGTGGGCTCTTCCTCAAATGGGTCCCAGATAAGCCCAGAAGGGGAGCATGTCCGCGTACGCTGCCGATCTTTCTTGCCACCACGACACTGGCCGGATAGGGCTGTCAGTCATGCTACACTGATTCTAGATGAAGTCATGTGTTCTAGTCATTCACTCTAAAAGCAGAGAGCTGAAAAATAATTTAAATGAAGGGCAGGACCAGTCAGATCTCTGTATATCCCCGCTGGCCTCATCTTGTGATCTTTCTGTAAAGCCTATCAGAGAAAAGCCGTCCAAGAACCACTAGGGGAAGGGGATGCCCTGCCATCCACCACTGCCCAAGGTACAACTTCTGTGGAGGGCAATGTCTATCAAAATCATGGAGGCACATGTCCCTTTGACCCAGCAAGTCTACTTGGAGGAAATGATCCTACAAATACATTCATGTGGACCAAGTGTTGTTTACAATAGCAAAACACCAGGAGCAATCTAGCATCCATCCGTAGGGAGCCAGCAAATTAATTAAAGCACATCCACAAAGTGTAATATTATAAAGTTGCAAAAATCAAAACCAAAACATGAAAAAGTTCTTTGTTATGTCATAGAAATGATCTCCAAGTGATTCTGCTGCAGGAAAAAGCAAGCTGCAGACAAAAATGTAGCACTTTACTATTCTCATTGTTTAAAGTGGGGTTGAGACCACATATGGTAATTTGATTATAAGTGCATAAACTATCTTAGGAAGAATGCACAAAAAACTGGCAACATTGGTTTGGCTCCAGATAGAGAAACTGGGTGGCAGGTTGGAGGGAGTGGGAAGGAGTCCTCCCACCACATACCCTTCCTTCCTATCTTTTGATCCCTGAATTAGGTGAATGCATTACCCAGTCAAAAAATACATTTAGATGTTTAAAAATCTGTGTTCTCTTTTCTGTTCCATTGGTCTATGTATTTACTTTTACACCAGTACCATACTTTCACACCAGTACTATTCCATTGGTCTGCGTATCTACTTTTACACCAGTACCACTACATATCTACTTTTACACCAGTACTTTTACACCAGTACCATCTACTTTTATACCAGTACTGGTATCTACTTTTACACCAGTACCAATACATATCTACTTTTACCACCAGTACCATGCTGTTTTTATTACTATAGCCTTGTAGTATAATTTGAAGTCAGGTAATGGGATGCCTCTAGAGTTGTTCCTTTTGCTTAGGGTTGCTTTGGCTATTTGGGCTCTTTTTGGTTCCATATTAATTTTAGGATTGTTTTTAAAGATACACTGAGGACGGGACACCCAATTCAATAAATGGTGCTGGGAAAATTGGATAACCACATGTAGAAAAATAAAACTGGATCCCTTTCTCTCACCATATATAAAAATTAACCAAGACTTAAATCTAAGACTTGAAACCATAAAAATTATAGAAGAAAACTTAGGAAAGACTCTTCTGGACATTGGCCTAGGCAAATAATTTACGTCTAAAATCCCAAAAGCAAATGTAACAAAAACAAATAAATGACACCTAATTAAACTAAAAAGTTTCTGCACAGCAAAAGAAATAATCAACAGAGTAAACAGACAACCCACAGAATGGGAGAAAATATTTGCAAACTATATATCCAACAAAGGACTAATATCCAGAATCTACTACGAACTCAAATAAATCAGCAGAAAAAAAAGCCAAAACAAATAATCCCATTAAAAAGTGGGCAAATGACATGAACAGATATTTCTCAAAAGAATATATACAAATTGCCAACAAACGTAAGAAACAATGCTTAACATCACTAATCATCAGGGAAATGCAAATTAAAACCACAATAAGATACCACCTTATCCAGCCAGAAAGGCCATTATTAAAAAATCAAAAAACAGGCCGGGTGCGGTGGCCCACACCTGTAATCCCAGCACTTTGAGAAGCCAAGGCAGGCAGATCACGAGGTCAGGAGTTCGAGACCAGCCTGGCCAACATGGTGAAACTTCGTCTCTACTAAAAATACAAAAATTAGCCAGGCGTGGTGGCACGTGCCTGTAATCCCAGCTACTCGGGAGGCTAAGGCTGGAGAACTGCTTGAACCCGCTCAGTGGATGTTGCAGTGAGCCGAGATCACACCACTGCAATCCAGCCTGGGCGACAGAGCAAGACGTCATCTCAAAAAAAAAAAAAAAAAAAAAAAGTCAAAAATCAATAGATGTTGGTATGGATGTTGTGAAATGGGAATGCTTATACATTGCTGGTGGAAATGTAAACTAGCACAATCTCTATGGAAAACAGTATGGAGATTTCTCAGATAACTAAAAGCAGATCTGCCATTTGATCCAGCAATCCCACTACTGGATATCTACCCAAAAGAAAAGAAGTCACTGTATAAAAAAGACACCTGTACACATATGTTTATTGCAGGACAAATCACAACTGCAAAGATAAGAAACCAACCTAAGTGCCATCAACCAATGAGTAGATACAGAAAATGTGATACACACACACACACACACACACACACACACACACACCATGGAATAATACTCAACCATAAAAAGGAATGAAATGTCCTTTGTAGCAACTTGGGTGGAACTGGAGGCCATTATCCTAAGTGAAGTAACTCAAGAATGGAAAACTAAATACAGCATGTTCTCACTTATAAGTGGGAGCTAAGCTATGGGTATGCAGAGGCACAGAGTGGTATTGGAGGACCCTAGAGACTCAGAAGGGTACTGGGTACAATGTATACTATTTGGGTGACAGGTACACTAAAAGCACAAGCTTCCCCACTATACAGTTCATCCATGTAACCAAAAACCATTTCTACCCCTCTAAAGCTACTGAAATAGAACGAATTAAAAAAAAAACAAAACTCTGATCTTCAAAAAAAAAAGGGCAAAAATACATAGTTGCTATTTTTTTCTATGACTTTACGTGGCCCATAACACTGCTGGCAAACCCAGGTGTGGCCCCTAACTCTGATGTCTGAAACCCAAGTCTGGGAGCCCCTGCCCAACAAGCAAATCAAGATGTTTCAGGGCCCAGACTGTCTGATCCCTTCCTACCCGAGCTGGAGGTGACTGATCAGCCAGCTACATTCAAAGACTTTTTTAAAAAAAAGATTAGACAGATAAGCTTTTGCTAAATTACTCGGCTTTGTTTCCTTAGAAAACTATGTTTATTAACAGAGCTAGGTTCCTTGACAAGCACCAGTTTGCTGAAATCTGTGTGTAATGCTGTTTTAACATGCCAATGCCAGGAACACTACTGGAGCTCAGTATTTGGGATGAATACACAATGGGTTGGCTAGCCAGATATAGGAATGGGTGGATTTGAGCCATTATTACTCCATGCTCATGCAGCTGAGGTGCCTGTAACATGCTAATGTGGGCATCATACGGTGTAAGAATATTCTCCAACTAAACAAAAATTACACCTCTGGAATACTTCAACAGGTTAGGGAGCTTTAAGTTTCTGACTAAAAGTCAATTTCAACATTTGGACCTCACTGTCTGCTTTTATCACAGTTAATCAATAATGGACTACAGCTAAATCCCAGTTTTGTATCAGGTACAAACAAATATAAACCAAATGCTCTGTTCTCATAAAACCTTCATCTGAATCCTAGATATACAGGCCAGAGGCACAGACACAAACCCTAGTGTGGATATAGCTCCAGGCAAACTCTACTGCTAATAGTCTCACACCAGCCTAATAAAACGTGCTGGGACACACGCTGCCACCAGGCTGAAGCACAGAGATGTTCAAGCATGGTATTCGCAAGCAAAGTGACACCAAGCCTCGCACATGAGACTATTTGGGAATTATGACATCACATTAGAGCACAGCAGGAGGATACTAAAATCTCACAGAGTTACCCATGACATGACTTAATTCACACAGAGCTGTTATATGACAATTACGTTTCTTAAAAATTCAAGTTTTTCTGAGGAAGCAGAAAATCCATTAAGCACAATCAGATGGAAAGTCTTGTCTCTGTAAAAATAAGCAAAGTTACATAGATGAAGCTTGGTATTCCTCTTACTTTTGAGTGGGTGGCATTCCTGTTGGAGAAACATCTCAACACAAAGTTATTACCAACACTACTAGCAAGCAGCCATTCACCCACATGAGTGTTTGGAGGGTTGGTGCTATGCTCACAAAATATGTGGATGACTAAATGCTACTGTCAGCTTCCAAAGAGACATTTAGAAACATTCTTGCAGCAAATTTATTTCCACTCCTAATTTTAAAACACCAGCGAAAACACCAGCTTACAGGACTATACTTTTTTTGTGTGTGTGTGGTAGAGACAGGGTCTCACTATGTTACCCAGGCTGGTCTCAAACTCCCAGCCTCAAGCCATCCTCCTGACTTGGCCTCCCAGAGTGCTGGGATTACAGATGTGAGCCACTGTGCCCAGCCAGGGACTATACATTTTTAACCAAGGATTTTTCACAAAATTAATGTGTTTATCAGCTGATTCTTACAGTTAATGCTTTTAGTTGAGTTGGAAATTTTGAGAGGAATCAAAAAAACCCCACTGCCTTACATCTGTATCTGAAGGATCCTTGTGCTGAACTGTCCCTTTAAGTAGTTTCTCAAATGTATCCATTACAACTGTATTACTACAGGAATAAATCCATTCAGATAAGTCAAGGAGAAAACATTTATAAAAAGTATGAAAAATTTAAACCAGACTGGTACTGAATATAACTATCACCTCTCTATACTGAGAGCTCTAAAAATAAATGAGATAACACAAACTTGAAAGCATACCAGATGAAAAATTAGAAAGCAAAATGGTCTCCCCTCTCTCAACAAATGAGCTCACCAGGGATGGGAAAAGAAAGTTTTTTTAGAGCATGAGAAAGGAAACTGCCTTAGGAAACAATTCCTGCTCCTTCCCCACTTCCTGGGAAGACAAAACTCAGGAGTAATATCATGACACATCTTCCAGCTAGGACACAACGGAGATGCCCCAACCAAACTGCACACCAAATTTGCAGCACAAATGAGATGATAAAGTTTGCAGCACAAGGGGAGGCCTTTTCACAGTGAGATGATAAAGTTTCACATTGAGATGATAGGATGCCACACATATCGTCTACCGCTTAGTCTATCTTCCTGGATGAAGAATATATCACTGGGATCCAAGATGCTTCCATTCTTGACCATTTACTAGTTTGCAAAGCCAATCACACCTACATAAATGAGATTTGACCTTACAGGTCAAATACATGGAGGAAGTAAGATGTAAAAATAGGCACCACCAGAGGCTGGAATCCAACTATGGGTGGGAGGAATAACGGGAGGTTCAGGAGCTAACAGGTCGGGAGCTCTCATGTGCCAGGCACCATGCCTCAAGCTTTACATATGGCTTTTCATTTAATCCTACAACTCTAAGAAGCAGGCACTATTATGAACTCTATTTTACAAATGAGGAAACTGAGGCATAAAGAGGGTTAAGGAAACTACTAACAGTCACACAGGGTCTGCTGGCCCAGACACGTTCCTTCGCAGGAATCCCACCAACTGACAGAATGGGTCAGGAGCAGGGAAATTGGGAAAAAACCCAAAATGAAACAAAAACTTTCTCTCTCTCCCCCTTGGTCCCACTGGTAGGGAGAGTTCTATAAATCAGCTTTTAGACTAAGTATTTGGCCTATAGTCAGGATAGTAACATGCTAGGGAGTGATAAAATTTAGTCATCACTCAAAGAATTTCCATTAAAAACCTGTCTTCCTGCTTTTGGCTCAAAGAGCATCAGAATGCACTTTTATGCACTGTTGGTAAGAATGTGAATTCTGATGCACCTTTTTAGAAGGGCAATTTGAAAATGTCCATCATTATCTCAAGTACACATCCTAGAGATACACTATATATAAAAGGACTTCTGCAAGCTGCAATATGCATTGTAGCATTGCTTATAGCAGCCAACACAGTGAAAGCAAGCTAAACACCTACCAGTGAGGGGCCTGGCTAAACAGGCTATGAGCTAGAAGCATATGCTGGAATCCTAGAGAGGGAGAGCTTGGTAAAAGCTGACATGGAATCCTCTCTCCAAGGCACATTATGGAGTAAAAATGTTGGGTACAGAACACTATGTATACTATGATCCCATCTCTACAACAATATGTTTTTAGTATACAAATGTACCTATATATGCATTAAATTTTTCTAGATGGATACCTAAAAACTGTTAATAGTTTCTTCTGTGCAGGGAAGTTGGGGGAAGGGAGGAGAAAGAAAATGATTACTTTTCATTTGCAATCCTTTTGAAGTTCTTGAATTTTTTGACCATGCTTATATACTGGCCTGATATATCTGGAAAAATATTGAAGAGCTTTAATTTTTCAATTCCCTTCTAAAAAATAAATCTATATTCTTTTTTGTTAATTATATATCTTGCTAGTTGTGTACCTTGCTTCCTTCGTACACCCATCCCAGACCCTGTACACCAAAAGCAACTTGGTTGGCCGAGACGTCTAGACATGTGACAGGCGGGCCGTGGGCGTAAAGGAGGGTTCTGGCGGAGTCTTCGGCTTTGAGCAGGTACATCAGATCTCCAGCAGCGGCTACTGCCACAGGGTACCTTCTGGTTTCTGGAACTATTTCAAGGTACTGAACCTGTTAAAAGGTAAGAGTTGTTTAGTCCCATAAATTCATCCTGACTTGATCAAAAATATGCAATTCCACCTACACATCAATGAGAAGACCAGCAACCCAACAGAAAAAGATGGGCAAATGAAACACTCACAGGAAATGAAACACAAACAGCTCTTACACAACAGAAAAGATGCTCAGTATAAGAGAAACATAAGACACACCTAAAAAGAGAAATATAAAATGAAAATTCATTGAAATATGATGCTTCACCTTTCATATCGGTAAAGATCAAGAAATCTGATAACACCCTGGGCTGGAAGTGAAGGAGGGAAAACCATGTTCCATGTTTCTGGATCCCACTTACTGCTGGTGGGGATATAATCTTGTCCAACTTGTATCAAGGGAACTTTGGCTACTCTTATCAAAATACCAAATGAACATGCACTCTGACCCAGGATATCCACTTCTAGAAGTTACTTACAAATAAACTCACATATATAAAAAATGATTATGTACAAGGTTATTCATGAACTGTAGTACAATTGTGTCTTAGCTAAAAACTAGAAAAACAGAAACACCCATTACTAAGGGACTAATTAAATAACTCAGTGTATCTATACGCTGGAATACCATGCAGTCCTAGAGGGAAGCATGAAAACGTTCTTTATAAAACGAAACAAATGGCATGGTTCTCCCAGATAAGCTTAGCGGGTAAAGCAAGGATGCAAGATGAGTTAGGTAACCCCACCTGCTGACATGTGTACAAGGTGGGGGTGGAGAAAGTACACAATGCGCTTGACTCGCACATCCATACATCTTCTAACAATGGCTGCCTTCAAGGAGGGAAGTGGATTATGAGATGGGGAGATTTCCCACCATCAGCTTTATTGTGTCTTTTAAATTCTGAACCATGGGGATGTAATAGCAATTCAAAAAATAAAAGGTTGGGGTTTTTTTGGTTTTGTTGTGTTTTTTGTTTGTTTGTTTGTTTACAATGAACTGAATAAATAACATTCAGCTCCAAATTCGCAAAAAAAATTTTAACATTTGTGTCAAAATGTGTGGCCAAAAGGTTAAAAATATCCAAGTGATCTGCTGTCTCCTGGTTTCAACGTCATCAGGGTCCATTTGGCCACCAGAGGGTAAGGAAGGCTCTACAAACACGCATGTTTCTACCCACCCCGCTCCCCAGTCCTGACTGCGTCACCGCCGGCACTTTCTCTAATGTGCACGAGTCTGAGACGCACTTTTCAAGAATAATTTGATTCTGTCCATCCACAGGCGGCCCATTTCTCCGCGGTGCCGTTCGCAACAGGCTTTCGCCTCTGCGAGTAAATCACGAGAGGACACATAGAAGGTGAGCCACACTAATTATGAAAATCCACAGTGTGAAAGGACAGCGCTGCCCTGACCATATGCCAAAGAGTTCAAAGCCGGCCTCCAGAACACGGTCCAGAAGAGCTGGAGGGAGCGTCAACATCCGGGGGACTCTGCTAATACTCGGGCCCAGCTCCGCAAGCTGCGGGTCCATCACAAAGGACAGCCGCACTAGGCTAATATCGCAGACCTGGGAACACTGCCACTGCCATTCAGGGGCGTATATGGACAAGACAAAACTGGCTTGGCTCTTCGGGCCAGGGGTGCCTTTTCCAAGGATACTCAGAGCATTTTGTGGGAACCTTTCACTCAAAGTGAAAAATAATTCCTAAAACGTGCATAAAACCCGCCTTGAACAATGGCTGCTCGGTTCCTCTCACTCCCCCAAATCATGTCTCATTTTCCTACAACTGATATCCTCCGTCTAGCCCTTTAACTTTATCTCCGTGTTGGCTTTCTGACAGACCAAGAGGCTCAGATTGACAGTGGTGGTGCCATTTGCTGGGGGCTGTAAACTAGTTCAAAAAGCTTCCAGTCTGTGCCAGGATGCCACCTTATTGCCAAGGCAGGATTTGCACTTTACAGAGAAACTGGCATCTTAAGTAAGTATCTGGGTCCATACAGTGATTGCTGGTCTACAGTATTCGTTTTTTTGTTGTTTTTTTGTCTTTTTTTTTTTTTGAGACGGAGTCTCGCTCTGTTGCCCAGGCTGGACTGCAGTGGCGATCTCGGCTCACTGCAAGCTCCGCCTCCTGGGTTCACGCCATTCTCCTGCCTCAGCCTCCTGAGTAGCTGGGACTACAGGCGCCCACCACCACGCCCGGCTAATTTTTTGTATTTTTAGTAGAGACGTGGTTTCACCGTGTTAGCCAGGATGGTCTCGATCTCCTGACCTTGTGACACAGTATTCTTTAATCACAGACTAAATAGTAAGTACTATGGAAGTTTTGAGAACAGAAATGTACTTTCACATTTTTCTAATAAAACCCAGATGAGCTGACAGCATCAGGCCATTTTAGGGGAGCACTATACTCAAAGTGCAGACGCTCCTGGAGGTGAAGCAGTGATGCCATGGCTTTCTAAGTTATTCTAGTCTAAGAAGATTCCCAACAGACAGAAAGAGGGAGGAACAGGATTGGTTCCAGGTCAGGCCCTCAATTCATCACTCAGTGTTGGCTTTTCTGCTCACTCTCCTACCAGTGCCAAAATCAAGTTTGTTTAAATTAAATCCTAACTCAGCATAGACAGATTTGAGCACTTCCTTCTTAACACCAAATCATCTCCCACTCTACAAATCTAGAGGTTCCTGTACCAATGAACTCAGAAATAAGCTCGACATAAAGAATTCTTAAGGCTGGCTGAGCTGCACACATGACATCCTGGAACATGGCTACCCAATTAACACCAACTTAAATCTATCTTCACGCAAGAGTTACTTTAAATTTCAGGTGAGACAGTCTTGGGATGAAGAAAGTGTAGGAATGGAAACCTTCCTTCCCAGATGGACTGGGATAACACCACTGAACTCATTCTCACTTATATATTAGGTCAAACTGATCTTTGATTCCCAAGGGTGAGATTCCACCGTGTTAGTCTGAAGAAGGCCAAGGAACCACAGTGATGAGCAGCTCTGGCCCTGAAGTCAGCCCTGAGGTTTGAATCGTAACTTCTTACCTCTGAGAACTGGGGCAAGTCAGTTCACTGCTCTAAGCAGCCTGAAGTGGCTTCTTGGTAAATGGGGAAAATGCTACTACCTATTTTGTAAGGCTGTAGTTAGACTTATGGAGGTAAGGCCCGCAGGAAGCTCTGAGTGAATGGGAGTTACCAACACCATTAGTACGTGCTTACATTAGACCCAGAGATTCTAAGAATAGAAAATAAGATGACCAGACTAAAAAGCTCACCAGTTTCGGAACTTCAAATTCCGCAGCTATCTGCCAGTACCCCTCCTCATTGGGGGATAACATCACGACATCAAAAGCAGAAGCTGTGGCCACGGTTGCATCGTCCTGGCTGAGGGCTAGTGCCTGTATTCTTGCATCGTGCTCAAAACGATGAACAGGGTACTTTCCGGTCCTTAAATCCCAAATATTAAGAAACCCTATGCAGCAAGAAACAATGCAGGTAACAATTTTAAATTTACTTAATATGTTCAATTATTTTAAAAACATGCAACACAAAGGAAAATTTTTTAACGGAGATACCTTGGAAATGAGACCCAAGTCTAAACACGAAATCACTTACGTTTCATATATACCTGATGCACATGGCCTGAAGGTAATTTTATACAATATTTTATTTTACTTTTTTATTTTTTAGAAACAGTGCCTCACTCTTCGCCCAGGCTGGAGTGCAGTGGTGCTATCATAGCTCACTGCATTTTTGAACTGATGGGCCTAAGTGATCTTCCTGCTTCAGCCTCCCAAATAGACAGGACTACAGGCGTGTGCCACCATACCCAGCTAATTTTTAATTTAGCTGAGACACAGTCTCACTATGTTGCCCAGGCTGCTTTTTTGAACTACTGGGGTCAAGCAATCTTCCTGCCTCTGCCTCCCAAAGTGTTGGAATTACACGTGTGAGCCAACGTACCTGGTCTATACAATATTTTAAATAATTCTGTGCATGAAGCAAAGTTTTGGCTGTGTTTTGGCTACAAACCCATCACATGAAGTTAGATGTGAAATTTCCTACATGTAGCATCATGTCAGTGCTTAAACAGTTTCAAAGCATTTTGGAATTTTGGATTAGGGATGCTCAGCCTGAATTTCACATCCTTCCTCAGCGCCATCCTCCTAAAGCCTCTGTTAGCAGCAGTGCTTTATTTTGCACAGCTCTAAAACCTGTGCTTCAATATCCCACACTTGCCAAAAATGCCGATTTTCCACTCTTCTCCCAGCACCTGGAATGCTGCTACCCAGATTAATTCCTCTTTCACACACTGGCCACACACCCTTTCTCCAGGGTGGTTTCCAGACCGGTAGCATCAGTACCACGTGGCGACTTATTAGAAATGCAGACTGTCAGGCACCAGTAACTCTGGGGATGTCCACTGGAGTTTAGGACCAGTGGTCTACAGGAGCTTATGCTTTTCCAGTCAGATAACCTTTTCTGTACTTAGCATTTCATTGATTCTTCTTTCCTCAAAAATAATTTCTTTTTATCATTCCCAAGCTATTTCCTTCCCTTCGAAGATTTACCCAAGAAAATGATTACTCTCTGCATTAGGCTGGTTAATGCCTTGCTCCAATTCCAATTGATTCAATTTTTCAAAATTCACCAAGAAATAAATGTGTGGAGATAACAGTTTGTGACTATTTGAGTTCAAATCCAGCTCCAGCACTTGTTAGCTGACGGACTTAGGGGAGCTGCTTAACAGCTCTGAGCCTGTTAGCCTTTCTGTAAAGTTGAAGACAACATTACCTACTACATAGGACTGTGAGGCAGATGAAAGGAGACCGGCCACACGAAGCACTGAAGATGGACCATTCCTTTCTGTCTTTTATTTTTATGCAGTCTATAGTTCCTGCTGTGTTATAAAACATATTTAATCTATCAATGCTAATTCCCCTTCTATTGATCATCCGTAAATCTAGCCCTATTTCCTATAACTTCCTATTATCTAGAACAGACCAAGCTTTTTGCTTTCCTTCTCTTGGCAGTGTATCTTCCTATCTTTCTTTTTTCTTGCCTTCTACTTTGTCTTTAAACTATAAATGCTTTGAGTTTAGGATCTTACTATAAAGGATCATTCAGCACTAAATAAATATAGAGAATTGGAAGAAAATAATACATTTGGGCTGCTTTGCCAGACTTCCAAACTGTCAGTAGGCTAAGGAAGCAATTATAAACAAAAGCAGAGCCTTCTTCAAGCTAAATGTTGCTTCGCATCTAAAACACAGTGCACTCTTAAGAATTATGATAAACTTGGGGGATAAGCGGATCACAAAAGGTTCCACAGCACATTCCCCTGGCAATTATTTTGGCAAATTCTTTCCATCCTGACTCAGAAGAGAAAAATATGCTGCAGAAAATGCCAGTGGCTCTACATATCAGATGGGAGATCGGCTCTCCCATGCCAAGATGTCTGCTCTTAACATGGGCTTCCTTCAAACACTCTGCATTGCATTTGTTTGCATTTGTTTTGAGACATCACAACAGTAAAGAGAAAAAAAACTCCCATTTGCATAGAGCTTCTGAGTCTTCAGAGACTCGTGTGTCTCCTCTCACTGGGCATTCACTTCCATCTTGGGAGGCGCACCATTTTACTCCTCTCACAGAAAAGAAACAGAAGCACCGAGCGGTTAAACAACTTGGTCCAAAGCCACTTGTTATGTCATGACTTGGTACGTCATGAAGTTGGGCTGGAATTTAGCTGGAAAAGTGCAGGATGAGCGGCTGCATTTGTAAGTGCATAAAATAACTATGAGCTCAATGAGTAACTGACGTACACCATCACACTCACCCTGGGTGCTGCCAAGCGTGGAAGCTATTTAACCACAGCTCACTCTAAGCACACATGGAGTTTATCTATAAACACATTTTTCATTATTAATCAAGTATTGGCTTTGCTGGCATCATTTTTCCAACAGAACTTTATGCAATAAAATATCCTTCACCACAAGGTTGAGTAGCACAGAGCTATCCTGAGAAGAGTCTTTTTGGGAAAAAAAAAAAAAAAAATCCAGGGCTCCATCAATTAAATGGTCAAATCTTTCTCTCCTGAAAGCCTGTTGTGTCTTCATCTTTTTCGATTTCCCCTACTTCAATTATAAAGTGTCGCACTTGATCAGATCCTCACTTGTCGGGGGGCTGATATCACGTGCACAGTTCTTCAACATCATTTTTAGGTGCAAAATCATTTAGGATTGTATGTCCTCTTGATGAGTTGATTCTTTATCACAGGCAAAGTCCCTCGGTATCCCTGGTTACTATAGTCTTTGCTTTGAAATCCACTTTGCATGGCCACGCCAGTTTTCGATTAGTGTTAGCATGCAGAACTTCTCCCATCTTTTCGCTTGTGTCTTTATATGTTTAAAGTGGGTTTTCCATAGACAGCATGTAGTTGGTCTTGCTTTTAATTGGGGTGTTTAAATCATTTATATTTACTGTGATTATTCATAAGGTTGGGTTTAATCTACCATTTTGCTAATTTTTTAAATTTATCCCATCTGTTCTTTGCTCCCTTTTCTCCTCTTTTGTTGCCTTTTTTATTTTTTGGATTGAGTATTTGGGATAACTAAATGTGGTTATTCCATTTTAATTCCTTTGTTGGCTTGTTAGCCAAAACTCTTTGTTATTTTAGAGGTTGCTTTTGGATTTTAACATAAGTCTTTATCACAGTCTACCTGCAAGTAATAGTGTATCATTTCACATGTTATATAAGAACTTTAGGCTGGGTGTGGTGGCTCATGCCTGTAATCCCAGCACTTTGGGAGGCTGCGGTGGGCGTATCACTTGAGGTCAGGAGTTTGAGACCAGTCTGGCCAACAAAGTGAAACCCCGTCTCTAGTAAAAATACAAAAATTAGCCAGTCATTGTGGTGGGCACCTGTAATCCCAGATACTCAGGAGGCTGACGCATGAGAATTGCTTGAACCTGGGAGGCGGAGGTTGCAGTGAGCCAAGATAGTGCCACTGCACTCCAGCCTGGGTGACGGAGTGAGACTCTGTCTCAATTAAAAAAAAAAAAAAGAACTTCACAGCAGCATACTTCCATTTCTTCCCTTCCAGCCTTTGTGCTATTACTGTCATACTTTTTATTTCTACATATGTTACAAACTTTTTATTTGTACATCTTGTAAACCTTAAATACATTGTTATTACTTTTGCATAAGCAGGCAATTATCTTTTAAAGATATTTAAATAATAAAAAAGCCATTTCTATTTATCCATGTAATTACCACTTCTAGTTCTTTCACTGTCACTTTCAACATCACAAAGTCCTGCAGCTTCTGCAAGGTTTGCAATTTCCCTTTGAACTGTATTGTTGGATATCTGCCCCAAAAGCATATGGGCAGAGTGGGCAGGAATAGATACAGAAGCTAACAGGGAGGGGTGTTTGAGTGAAAGCTAATTTTATAAATGGTCAATTTATCAGTTACTACAGTTATATCATGGCTACTTTTATAATCTCAAAACTGCAAGGACTTGAATAGTGAATAACTGAATTACAAGAATGCTCTATAATAGTGTGGCTGATTATCATCAGCTACATTTAGCCAAAAAGGAATCAATGCAATAATACATTCAACAGGTAGTTACAGAGCTCCCTGTTTTGTACCAAGGCACTATTCTAGGGACTGGGGATATCACAGTGAATAAGACAAAATAAAACAAAAAAAGTCCCTGACTGATCGAGCCAACATTTTAGTGACATATAAGAATTGAAAGGATACCTGTTTTCATAAAACACACACTGGAGAGAAACAAATATTTAATAACTAAAATATAAAACACAATGATCACAGAGAGATATACACAAAGCACAATGGAACAATGAATAAGCTTAACTTTTGGTCATGCTGTCACACTATTTTAAGACCCCAGAAAAGGAGCAGCAAACTTTTCTAGATGTTTTAACTTGAACCAAGTCTGCATTTATTGCATAACTACTAAGGAAGAAGTAGTTAATGCCTGTCAGGGTCAAGGAAATTCACTTCTCAAATAGGTATTTTTTTTTAAATCTGATATAAATTCATTTGAAAGGTCAAGTGTTATCATACTGCGGACCTAGCAATGAAATGGATTTGGCTCCTGACACTGTGAACTTGTGAAATGGCAAGACTGTGTCCTTTTCCCTCTCTATGCCCTATGGTAAGGAATTCACAGTGCTGGATGTGGCTGTACATCAATAAAGGTTTGCTTAATGCTTGTCATATGTTTCAGCAATGGAACATTTGGTTGTAAGAAACAGACACCCACTGAAACTGGCTTAAACATAAAAAGGAAACTGACTGGAAAGGAATGAGGCTACTTCATGGAGCCCAAGGGCAGGAAGTACAGCTGGAGGTGATAAGGGATCAGAACCAGGAACCAGGAAGACATGCAGAACCAAGGTAGTGTATGTAACTTGTGTGCACCACAGATCTTATCTCTGCTTCTCTCTGCAATTCTATTTCATTCTTCTTTTCGGAAACCAGCTTTCTCTCATCCCTGGGTACATGGAGAAAGGTGGCTGTCCCCATTCCAGGAGGTCTTCTACTCCAAGAATGCAACAAAGTTTGAGTCCCAACCAGCCCATCCCAGTCCATGAATCAGCTTCCCCCAAGAACTGGGGCCCCATCCCTCATCCAATTAGCTGAGGCCAAAAGACTAACTCAAATACTATGAACATGCCCACCTGGAGAGGGCCTGGGGAGGGACCTCAGGGCAAGGAGACAACCCCCTGCCCAAAGATCTCTACGACTTCTCTCCTGCACAGTAGGCCAAGGTAAAACAAGAGAAAAAGTCTCAGCAAACACAAAGGGAGGTTCTACTTGGTTTCTTGGCAGTGGCATAAGAAGCAAGTGTTTTTTTTTTTTTTTTTTTGCCATTCCCTGCACCAGGCATCATCCTGAAGGCCAGAGTTTATAGCCCCCATTTTGCCCCACACTAGAGAAACAGAAAGAGCAGGTGTTTTTCTTCCTTCCTGACCAAACCTCAATAGCTGGATAAAAGATGATTAATTCTGAGTAGTGCTGGGATTGCAACAATACTGTTTCACTCATAACAAACAGGAAAAGGATGCAGACAAAAGAAGAAACTGGGTCTCTTGAAACATCCAGAAGACAAGTGAGGACCACTGGCCCAATAAAGGAGAAGGGGCAGGGCCTGGCACTCCCACCTGCTCCCTGGGCTCAGGACCCTCCACCTTGACAAGCAGCAGCCAGGCTGAAGGAACTCTGAGCTCAGCCTAGACCAGTAACAGCCATTAACGATGACATGAGTAACGATGGCCAGTCTTTCGAGGAGACATAAAGCCTGCTCAGCAGCTGTGGATGGGCACCCATGCCAGTTTGCAGCAGGCCCCTCCCACCTCCCTAAGGAGGCCAGCCAGAGTGTGGTAATGAAACTGCACATAGTGGAAATGGGATCTAAATGAGTTTAAACTGATTTATGTTAGCTTTTGTAAAGATTACTCGATATCTGGAAAGTGCTACCACTGTGAAATAATGTCGACAATCCTTAAGACCTCTGTCTAATGGTACTTGCACAGAATATTTATATTCTTCGTCATGGGAACAAGGACCATAATGGATACCATTTTTGTTTTATTAGGGATGCATATTTAAATTAATCTGCTATTTGCCTAAACAATTAGCTGCTTCTGTTTGTGTGCACAAAGCCAAAATTGCAATTAAGCTTCCATCAAAAAGATAAGTCCCAACTAAAACTGTCCCGGTGGAGTCATAAGAGCTCAGGGCAGAACTTTCCAAAATTACTTTTTAGCATAATGGTAATTATGTTAATTGCCTGAAAGGTAAATAACTGCTGAACTGGTTTTGGAAAAAAAACACAATTGGTATACTCTTCCCTCCCCTTTGATCTTTTCCATGCACCACAAAATTTAAAACAGGTTAACAGTTTCGAAAGGTCATAGACTAGTCCCTTCTTCAACTACAGAGCTGGTCTTGTGGTCTTTAGTGGTTTCTTGATTAGAAATTATTTCAGCCGCGAGCTCCCATCCTCTTGAGCTTCCACAATAAACACCTGAAGCTTGGTGTCAACTTCATGATCGTTAAATAGACAGGATCAATTAACTGCGTTCAGAGATACTGAATGAAGTTGACTATTTATAATAAAGACAGCTGGCAATCTCAATTTCTACCATGTAAATAAACACTTGCCTATCAGAAATTAATCAGGAGTCAAAAGAAATTCTGCAACAAAGGAAAAGGCATTTTGACAAAAATTTTAAATATACCCATAGCACTGACTTAACACGTACCTCTTTGTTCATTAAGTCCACACATCACCACTCTGAAATGCAGGCCAGAGACATAAAACTAGCATAAAGTTGGACAGGACAAAAGTTTTTGCTCTTCATGGAAGAGGTGCCGGTGGGAGATTAGTATCAGTGTAGACAAGGGTCATAAAGAACAGCTAAACCACGGAGGGTCACGAAAAAGGAAAAAGGCTGAAGTTTCTTGTTACTGCAGCTACTGTGGCATGCCATCCTGCTTTCCCGCTGACCACAGCGCTACAGCTCTGTTGCCTAAGGCAGAAAATAAACAGAAAACATTCTGGAATCTGCATTTTAGATTGACAAGTAAAAGAATCTGAATAGGCTTATGGAGGAGGCGACTGGTTAGGGCATAAACAAAGCAGCGAGATCACCAAAATAGAAACTGAGTCAAGAGAAGAGGAAGTAAGATTGAATATATTTAGTAGCTCTCAAATTCAAAGCAGAAAGAACACCTGAAAAAGAAGAATGAAAAATGACGAGACAGCAGACTGAAAAGGAGGCAAATAGTATATTGTTAAGACTATGGCAATGTGACTAGATAGAAGAATTTCCAGTTAACATCTTAGGAAAAACAGATTGATGGAGAAGGCAAAGAATTTGGACCAGCTTCTACAAGGGAAAGTTCCAGAGGGCAGGTAACGTGAAAGAGACATCACTGTGCATGCAGCCTCAGACTGAGGCCAGTGTTCTCTATAACCGATATACACATGATATAGACTCTATCCCGAAGAGATCAGCAGACACTGGTAGTAGCAGATGCCTCTAAGGAGGGGAGTGGGGAATCAGTGGACTGGGTGGTAGTAGATTAAAAAAAAAAGATCACTACTGAAGCTGAGTGATGGGTACACGGGGGTGCATCATGCTATTCGTTCCATTTTTGTGTATTTTGAATTTTTCACAATAAAAGATTTTTAAGAATAACCATTTGAAAGGCTATCACTAACAAAAGTAAAAATACGTTAATTTGTGTTTTACAAACGTTTTCAACAGCCACACTGCAGACTAAGTGTCTTCTCAGATCTACGGTGAAAATTCTAGTGATGACATTTTGCAGCCTTTAGAAATCCCATTCCAAATCCTGAAAAAAAAATCTTAAAATTATACTATCAATTAATTCCCTTTCAAGGAAAGTAATAAATGGCTCAAATAAAAAGCAGGGGGAAAAGTCTACATAAAGATTTAAATGATGGCGAAACTGCAGTCGGTTCTGAGTTACCTAACACCAAATAAGAATGAGAAGACAGAAACCACAGACAGCCTAACATCTCACTTGGGCATTCAGATACCAATGCAAATCCCCCCAACAAATAGATGGTTTTGCCACAAGGCCCCGATGTCTGGGGTGGGGCTCTCGGGTCTCCCTCCCCTGTGCCCAGAGTGGATCACAAGAGCCCAATAGAGACGGAGACTCACATGGCCACCTGCCTTCCAGACCAGTGCTCTTCAGACTTTTTTGATTACCCCCTGAAATGATTTTGAAAAACAAGGCCTGCCTTTCCCGTTTTATATATGAAACCGATAAATTTTTTTTGTCCTAAGTTGTAAGTAGTGGCAAAAACGTAACATCTGGCATGTTTGTAAATGTTGACATTTTAAAATAAAATGGCTACACTATTCTTTAAAAAGTATTCTCTGGGAGGCTGAGGGAGGGCAGATCACTTGAGGCTAGGAGTTTGAGACCAGCCTGGCCAACAGGGTGAAACGCCATCTCTAATAAAAATACAAAAAAAAAAAAAAAATTAGCCGGTGTGGTGGTGCATGCCTGTAATCCCAGCTACTCAGGAGGCTGAGGCAGAAGAATCGCTTGAACCTGGGAGGTGGAGGTTGCAGCGAGCTGAGATTATACCACTGCACTCCAGCCTGGGCAACAGAGTGAGACTCTGTTTTGAAAAAAAAAAAAAAAAAAAAAAGGATCCTTTGGAAACAAAATACCAAAGATTAGGTACTCATCATCATGCATTTTTTTTTTTTTTTAAAGAAAAGGGGAGGGTGCAGGTGGGGAATAGCTTGAAGACAAATAGCAAGATACAAAAAAGAGAAATGCTGAGGATCCCTGATTATAACCACCACCAAAAGAACACAAGGGTACCATCTAATCTCAGGCCTCCAAGTCAGCCAGACAGCAGAAAAGCGGCAAGCACATTCTTTTCTAAGTAATCATGTAACATTGTTTTTAAATGGCATTAAATTGCTATGGGAAAAATCCAGTCTTATTTAATCCTGTAATTTGATAGTCTTTTTTGATTTTGAAATAATTTCAGACTTACAAAAATGTTATAAAAATTATGCAAAGAGTTCCAGTTATAGCTTCATCCAGCTTTCCCAAATGTTAACCTATTACATAACCATAGCAGAATGATGGAAGCCAGGAAATTAACGCTGATGCAACATATTTAATCTACAGATTTTATTTGCATTTAACCTGTCCTCTTACCAGCATATTTTTTCTGGTCCAGGATCCAATCCAGAATTCCACATAGCATCTAGCTGCCATGTCTCCTTCATCGACTCCAATCTGGGGCAATTACTCAGTCATTCCTTGTCCTTCATGACCCTGACACTTTTGAAAAGTACTGCTCATTTATTGTGTAGGCCTCTCAATTGTCTGCTGTTTCCTCATATTTAAAATCAGAAGGTGTTGTGCCTTCCCAGTGCATTATGTATCAGGAGGTACATAATATCAAAGTTTCATTACTGGCCATGTTAACTATCATCACTTGGTTAAGGTGGTATCTGCCAGTTTTCTCTACTGTAAAGTTACTGTTTTTCTCTTACGGAGTGATAATTTCACACCATGCAAATGTCCTGTTACTCATTGCTCATCTGAATGTTGTGTCCCCCCTACCACCATTTCAGTGTTAAAATCCTAACCCCCTAAGTGATGGTACCAGGAAATGAGACCTTTGGGATGTGATCAGGTCATGACGACAGTGCCTGAGAGCTCCTTTGCCCTTTCCACCATGTGAGAGAAGGCACTGCCTGGAAGGAAGGGCTCTCGCCAGACATAGAATCTGCCAGTGCCCTGATCTTGGACTTTCCAGCCTCCAGAAATGTCAGAAATATACTTCTGTTGTTTATAAGTCACCCAGTTTATACTGTTTTGTTATAACAGCCCAAACGGACAGAGACATTCATCACATTGATTTTAACATCCGCTGGTGATTCTTGCCTACGACAATTATGATTACGGTGCTTGCCAAATGGTGGCTTTCTATTTTCATCATCCTTTCCCATACAGCAATTCAACTACTACTGTAAGGAAGAGCTATCTCTTCTCCTTTATTTATTCAAGTATTTATTGATACCAATATGGACTCATGGGTAATTAATTATCCATAGGTTATAGTCCATCACTATCATCATGTTTTGTTGCTCAAGTTGTCCTTCCTTTAGCCCTCAGGAGCTCCAATTTAGTTCTACTGTCCTATAGATGCCCTACCTTCATCTTTTTATTTATTTTAAACATCCTTACTTTTGGGTCCCATAAAATGTTCCAGATTCATCTTGTATTTATCTGCCCTAGCCCTTGTTCCTTTTATTGAAGAACATTTAGAAACCAAAATCTGGGCACTAGCTGTGCTTACTGTTACCAGGGTACACAATATATTCTTTTTTTGGAGGCAGGTGTCACTCTGTCACCCAGGCTGGAGTGCAATGGCATGATCATGGCTCACTGGAGCCTTGACCTCCCAGGCTCAAGTGATCCTCCTGCCTCAGCCATGCTTCATTTTTATTGGATGACAGACATTGTGAATTTTACATTGCTGGTTGCTAGCTTTTGTTGTATTCTACAAAATAGTATGGAAGTTTATTCTGATGCAAAATTAAGACACTCAGAATCGGCTGGATCCTTTTGTGGCTTGCTTTCCAACTTTTTTTAGGGGATCCCGAGCAGCTTTTAGTCTAGGGCTGAATTAGCCCCATTACTAAAACATGGTACCCTTCTGAAGATTCCACTCAACAATCCATGTATTACGAGGTCTTTTTACTCTTGGGGAAGTGCAAACTATTCTTAGCCTCATGTGAGCTCCAGGAATTGTTGTGCCTTCTCCTTTCAGGTAGTTCTTTCCCTGATCCAGGTATTTCCTCTTACACATGTGCAGAGTAGGACTCAGCCAAAGACTCGAGGGAATCCTCAGCCAATCCCTGGGGTTCTCCCTCTGGGAGCTCCCTCTTCCCCAATACTCTGGCCCACAAATTCTATCCACCTTGGCTTCCCTGAGCCCTCACTGGGGCCTCCTCAAGTCAGGGAGGCCACCAGACTCTGTTTAGGTCCCCCTCCTTGTTTGGAGTTTCCAGCTGGTGAGCTGGTGTAACTGTGGGCCTCACCATGTTTGTTCTCCTCCAAGAGATCACAGCCATGGGCTACTTATTTTCCAATGTCTAGAAACCATGGTTTAATATATTTTGTCCGGTTTTCTAGTTAAGGTGGAAAGATAAATCCAGTTCCTGTTACTTCATCTTTCTCAAAAACACGTTATTTTTTATCTTTTTATTTTGAAACTTTCAAAATTACAGAAAAGCTGCAAGAACTTCTATATACTCACTGTTCAGATCCCATTGCCAACTGTCCCAGTAATGTTCTTTGTAGAAAAACAACCCAAGCCAGGATGACACACTGCACTCCATTGTCAGGTCTCTCTTCTCTTTCCACCTGGAATAGTTCTTAAGACCTTCCCTGAGTTTCATGACCTTGACAGTGCTGAAGAGGACAGGCCAGTCATTTTGTGGAATGTCCCTCAGTTTGGGCTTGTGTGATATTTTCTCGTGATTAGATCAGGCTGTGCACTTTTGGCTGGAATAATATCAAAGAAGTGATTCTGTGTTTTTTCTCACTGCATCGTGTCACATGGCACAGGTTATCAATTCTACCATTACTGATGATGTTAAATGTGATCACTTTATTAAGACGGTTCCTGTTAGATTTCCTGACTGCAGAGTTATCTTTTCCTGCCTTTTAATTAGTAAGTGTTTAGTGGGGAGATTTTTTGAGACCATGTAAGACCCCATCCCTCATCCCATTCTTATCCTCTGGTTTTAGCCTCAATTGATTTTTTGTCTGAATCAATTATTACTGTGATGGTTGCCAATGTGTAATTTTCTAATCCCATCATGCTTTCTGCATTTATTAGTTGACATTCTACTATAAGGAAACTTTTCTCTCCTCCCTTTTTATTTATTGATCTGTTTATTTTTATCATGATATACTCATATATTCCTATTTTATTCAATGGGTTGTAACCTGTTATTATCAATATTGACTTTGATACTCCAGTTGTCCCAGGTTTGGCCAGTGGGAACATCTTCAAGCTCACTTATGTGTCCTTGTGACATGTTGTCATCATTCTTCAAGCACTTCTTCACTTCAGTGCAATCAGATGGTCCAGGCTTACTGTGTGGTTTCACTGCCCCATCCCTGGAGTCCACCATTTCTCCAAGCATCCCTGGTTCCTTTTAGTAGATAGTGATACTTTCAACAGCTGGGCTGTTGATGCTCTTACACCTTCTCAGCAAACAAAGCCAGGACACACATAAACATATATACATACGACATACATGTACATCTCTGTTTACTTCTCTATCTATATTTAACACCATAAATTCCACACCGATGCCTCCTATTCCAATCCAGCCCCACAGGGTTCATTCTGGCCATCCCCTTTCCGTACTTGAGCCTTCCTTCTCCAAGCATGAGAGAACTGGCTCCCATGAGCCTCAACATACTTACCTCCTCAGTCTCCCTGTATGCCGCCAAGCTCCCAGGCCACTGCCTCGCTCAGCTTCCCTCTCACACTGTCCCTGGCCCCCAGACCACCTTTCTACTCCACTTGGGCCCGTTTAATGGCCTTTTGAATGAAAAGGCAGGCAAGCAGATGCATTTTGCTTTTCAAACAAAAATATATTCATTCCACAAATATACTTACTTCTAGTTTGATCAAGCCCTAGGGTTCAGAATGAAATAAACGCTACAACCAAAACTGCACATAGTGAAAGGGAAATTAAATTCTCTCACTTAAAATTCGATTTATCTTCCTTGAGAAAGCAAATAAATTCATGCTCAGTTGTCATTAGGTACACTTAAGAACTTGGGCAATTTATTTCTCCAGTCTAAACTATCTCCCCAAAGCTACCTTGTGCTACTATTGCTTCTTTCAGTTTGTAACTCAACTGTAATAAAATAGAACAGCTACTGTGAATTTATGCATCTTAATGTCTATTATTAAAAATCAGTTTTCAGTAAAACCACCTCCAAGAAACCAAAAGAGTAACACTAAATCTTATAGTGTAAATTTAATGTGCCACATTTTTCTACAGGAGAAAAAATATTTCAATTTACTTTCACTAGTAACTTCAAAAATGCATAGTTATCCCAGAAACTGGTCATCCATTAGTCTGTGCCTACTAGCATACTATGGTGCCTTTCCAGTGTTTCTTAACTTTGAGGGCTTGTAGATTCCTAAAAATTCACTGTGGACGCCACTTGGTGTGAAAAACAATTCATGACAAGGTCAATACGGGCATGCAGGTGGTCACTTGGTACCAACAGCCTCAAACACAAAGTGTAAATTCTGGTACCGAGATCCCACAGCACAGTTGAGTAATGGGGTCAAAAGATCTAGTTTTATTTTTTTTAAGATTACCATAAAAACAAAAGCACAGATTTAAAAAAATTCCTACAGATCTCACAGCTCTCACCCAAAATCCAATCTGTAGACTCTCATGTGAGGCCCACTGCCCCATTATTCAGATATAACACAGATTCTACCCAGAGCATGTATCATTTCAAGCTCCTGTCACTGAGGAATAGAAAAAACTTTTAAAGAGCGTTTGTATTCAACAACTTCCTCCAGCCCCTAATACAGTCTCTGTGGCCTGTCTGTGAAACAATCTCTAACATCCTAGATATGCCAGGTGGAGGTCAACTTAAAGTTCAACGCCCTAAAAAGGATTTCTTAAACACCAAAACCCCCTCAGTTCAGAATTCTGCCTTTTTTTTTTTTTTGACTGGGTCTTGCTCTGTTGCCCAGGCAGAAATGCAGCAGAGCAATCACGCACAGCTCACTGCAGCAACTTCCAGGGCTCAAGTGATCCTCCCACCTCAGCCCGCCAAGTAGCTGGGACCACAGGTGCACCCCACCATGCCCAGCTAGTTCATTTTTTGTAGAGACGGAGGCTCACTATGTTGCCCAGGCTGGTCTCAACTCCTGGGCTCAAGAGATCCTCCCACAGCACTGGCATTACAAGCCTGAGCCACCACACCCAGCCTAGATGTTTTAATTCCCTTCTGAATGTTTAAAATGTGAGCATTCCTAGTGTTAAAAAAAAAAGTTTACATTTATGAACATACCCTATCTTTTACAAGGACTATACCTGGTGTGTTTTTTTGGTTTCTGTTAGAAAGTTGTCTCATTCTGTTTTGTTTGCAAAGTGTCTGAATATGAAGACTAGATTCCTGGACCTAAGGGTGAGTAGGCAAAGGTACCAGGCAAGAACTGATGATTGAAACTTTTAGGACAAGACTGACTGGAAAACAAAGGCCTTGAAAAAAATCAACTTCTCCACAATCCATCAATTGCCTTAGCCTTCTCGCAAGCAATGCTTTAACATGTTAAGAATCACTTCTAAAACTTCAATGTTGGGGGCAGGGGGGTAGTTGTTTACTGCATTCAAAGGCCATGTCATCACATCCAAATGTCATCATCAGCATACAAACAAAAGATACAAGCAAAACAACTGAAGAACTATTTTTTACTAAAAACAAAATCTTAAGTAAAACTTTAGAAGTACCTAGTCTCTACAGCCGTCTAACTAAAACATGGTCCTACTGTTCACCGCTAAAAAGCAGCTTGGAGAGACCCACCCCCGTCCATTGTTGATACGTCAGTAAATGAGAAATCATAGTCACCTCCGCCCAGGGCAGCCACAGTCCCGGACAATGGAGCATGTGTGCGTTCAGACAGTTGCACTGGGAGTGTTGCGGAGGTGGATAAGCCACTTTGCCGTGCTTGATGGCACCATATAAAGAGGACTGCTGGCTGTCCCGTCCAGGCTTCCTCATGCTAATATGCACCAGATCGCGTCTCTCCTCTCTCTACTGAGGGGGACAAATAAAAACTTCTTTGCACCTAAGAAGTGTGTAATCTCATTTCTCACCAAAGAGCGAGATTTCAAGACAAACTCGGTGACCAGGGAGCGGGTTTCGAAGCACACTGCCATTCCCTAATGCTGTGGCACGAGGCCAAAGGCAGGCAAGCACGGAGCAGATGGAGTCCTGGCAAGGTCTCCGCCGTCCCTGCATTAGCAGCATCTGCTCATTACTCAGAACCTTCGCCTGCTTTATCTAATGCTCCAGGAAAAGCATTTTGATTTGATTCATTTCGGTATGGTAACGTGCAACACAATTAGTGGTAAAATCAAACTGGAGGATGGCCAGTGCTGACAATCGGAAACAAGGCAGAAGAAATATGAGGCCAGAGGGTTGGAATTCAAAAAATCACAACTGTGGATCACCTTGCCAAATCTCAACACCCCAGGTGCATGTACAGTGTTCCTACGGAGCAAAGAGGCTAAAAGGGATGCAGGGATGACTCCCTTTCCCCAAAGCAGGTTCCATCTCCCCCTCTGGATACGATTCCCTCCACCGAGAATGTGCGTGTAGACCAGCGAGGGCGTTTCAATGGCTACAGAGCCTCACTTTGGCACAACCAGAGAACTGAAGTTCATTAACTCATTTTATTGTCTTATTCTTCTTTTCCGTGTCACAAATTTTAGACAGCAGAACCCACAAGGTAAAATTCCTTTTTTTGTCATGTTTCTGCCTCAGAAGTGCCAGTTAGCTGCTCCTGGAAAGAAGCAATATAAAAATGTGGGTTTATTTGAATCTGTCTTTGCCCAAAAGTAGCTATTCACGAAAATGTTAGTGTAAATATCATAGTGTCGATCTGTTAAACTGAAGGGGGACCAAAGGTAACGCCACCTGACGTCTGGGGAAAGAATAGAAGTTGTTGTTTATCACAGAAACAGTAACAACCCGAATCAGACCAATGAAACAAGCTCAGCATGAGAGGGGAGCAGGGAAACACAAGGGCTCTAAAAAAGGAAGAGCCCTTAATACCAAAATGAACTTGAAACGAATCAAAGATTTCAATGGAAACACTGCAGCCTTGGAAGCACTTATAGATTTTACCCAGGCGTTGAGTAATCATCTTCCCAACCATGACGTGAAACCCCAAAGGACAAGACTGACAAGCTTGATGTAAATTTAAGCTGCCAGACAGACCAACTGAAACAGAGCACAAAGTTCAGAAACAGACCCAGATACAAAGTGAATTTCATAGCTAAAAGCTTATAAAGGCAGCACCTCAAACCAGTTAGGTAGAAATGGGCTCTCCGAGAAGAGATGCTGGAAAAAAGATGTACTTGGAACCATACTGCATGCTAATCCAAGACGAACTTGTCAAGATAAAAATATAAAAAATAAGCCATAACAGTAACAGAAGAAAAAGAAAGAACTACAAGTAGCAGGTACACATTTTTTTTTTAATTTAACCTTTCTCACATTAAGAGAAATGTAAATTAAAACTACACTTGGTGACCATTTCTTCTCAAACTGATGAATACCCAAAAGCTGGAAACATACTTTGTTGGCAAAACTGTGAGGAAGCGGGCACACTCTCATGGCTTGCTGGTAAGAGCATAAAATAGTAAAACCCCACTTGCATTTACCCTGTAACCCAGAAAACAATCCTCCTTGCACTTGTGTGAAATGTCATCTTTACAAGGTTTTTCACTACAACACTGTAACGGCAAACACAACACAACTGTCCTTCAATAAACCAAAGTGCTTATACACAATGGAATTACCATTCAGGTGTGCAAACGGGGTACTCTCTCTACACAGACATGCACTCCCTTTTAAGATATGCTATTTAGAGAAAAAAGCCAAGGTGTGGAATCATGTAAAGTAAATAGTATGCTATCTTTTGTTTTTTAAAAAGGGGGCAATAAGAATATACACACTCATATTTTCTTGTACTTGTAATACTAAAATACAAGGATATACAAGAAAGTAAAAAATATGGTTACTTCAGAATGGAGCAGACAAAAGTGGGTGGCAGCAAGATTTCTCAATATATAACTTTATATTATTTTGATCTTTGAACCCTAAAAATGTAGTAATCAAAAACATTAAATTACAAAATAACCCCACTCACTTTTAGATTAAAAAATTAACATTGTTCACACATACCAAGTACCTTCTAGAAAACAAGTCCATTAAAGAATAAATGACAAGCCAGGCGCGGTGGCTCAAGCCTGTAATCCCAGCACTTTGTGGGGGCCAAGACAGGCAGATCACTTGAGGTCAGGAGTTCGAGACCAGCCTGACCAACATGGTGAAAGCCCAGCTCTACTAAAAATATAAAAAATTAGCTGGGCGTGGTGGCAGGCGCCTGTAATCCCAGCTACTCAGGAGGCTGAGGCAGGAGAATCGCCTGACCCCAGGAGACGGAGGTTGTAGTGAGTCGAGATCGCACCACTGCACTCCAGTCTGGATGACAAAGCCAGACTCTATCTCAAAACAAACAAAAAAGAATAAGTGACTTACGGAAAAAATATCGGAAACACATATGGCAAGGATTATTTCCCAAGCTTTCTTTTCAACCAGAAAAGATGACAACCCAAAAGAAAAATGAAGAAAGACAGGAACAAACAATTTGCAGAGAAAGAAATAGAAACAGCTAACAACACACAAAGAAAAGATGTCCACATGTAATTAAAGAAAGGCAAACAAAGACAATAAAATGCCATTTTTACCTGTCAGTCACTCTCACATACTTTTGGTGACACTATAAACTGGTGAAACCTTTTTGGAGGGCAATTTGGCAATAGTTATCAAAGCCTAAAGCAGCCAAAGCCTGCAGCCATAGCCTCCAACCTAGCAATCACTAGCACCTCACCCCAGGGCCACCCTTGGACAAGTCCATCCTGGCATTTGTTCAAGTATATTGCTTGCAGCACTGTTTTCAATAACAAAAATGAACAACTCAAATGTGTATCAATGAGGACCCTAATAAATAAATGATGGTACAGCCACATAATGCAGTACTACACAGGCATTAAAAAGAATAAGGTTTACCCTGTAAGTGTGAACACGGAAGATCACCAAGATGTGCCATTAGGTTATTAAAAAAAAAAAAAAAGGTGCAGAGAAGTATACAGAGCAGGACCCCCCACGAGTAAAATGCGAGAGGGCCTGGAAGTGGGACAGGGAGGAATACCTCGACTTCTTTTTGCATACTTTTTCTTTGTCATTTTATATACATTTTTGCTCTGTTTGAATTCTAACTATGACTTTAAAAAAAAAAAGAATTTAAAATACATTTTGGCAATCACTTGCGAAGCATTTTACCAAAGAAAGCAGATTCTTAGCCTGGCCAACATGGTGAAACCCCGTCTCTAGTAAAAATACAAAAATTAGTTGGTTGTTGTGGTGGGCACTCATAATCCCAGCTACTCGGGAGGCTGAGGCAGGAAGGAGAATCACTTGAACCCGGGAGGCAGAGGTTGCAGTGAGCCGAGATGGTGCCACTGCACTCCAGCCTGGGTGGCACAGCAAAACCCTGTCTCAAAAAAAAAAAGTAGATTCTTTATCATGCCTACATTGTTTCCCAACATTTCTGTGCAACAACAGGGGATGAGGGCAATGAAGACAATTCTCACAATATAAAACCAGCAGCAGCACCCCTGCACATCACCTCAAGCTGTATTTTCAAGCTCACGAGATGTGAGACATGGGCTGCAAATCAATTGGGCGCACATTTCTACAAGAGTCTTTATGTTCAGGATTCCACAAACAGCACGACCACCGCAGCACGGCCCTGGAGACACAATCACAGTTCTGGATTCACTGCTGACTTCAACCTACCTGGCTTCTTTGCACCTCTGTTTCCCCATCTGTAGAAGAATATGTGTGTGCATGTTCGTGTGTGTGAATGGTAGGGAAAGGCTATTAGATGATCCTAAAACTATATGATTCTAACTTAAAAGTACTGCAATCTTTGCATAGGTATTTTGGAAACAAAACTCATTGATAATTTGGAAAGTAGCAAACATGTTCAAGCTGCTCTTATGGTATCTATCCAGGGTCTCAATAAACATATGAAATATTAATTATACCACAGAAACAGCTCAGCTGAATTTCTATAGGCTGAAAAGGAAATCCATCAGTAGTGTCTACTAACATCAAACCAACATCACGTTGCTAAAGTAATTATATAAAATATAAAAATATTTTCAAGGCCAGGTGCAGTGGCTTATGCCTATAATGCTAGCACTTTGGGAGGCTGAAGCAGGTGGATAGTTTGAGCTCAGGAGTTCAAGACCAGTCTGGACAACACGGCAAAACTCCATCTCTTAAAAAAAAAAAAAAAAAAATTAGCTGGGCATGGTGGCATGCGCCTGTAGTCCCAGCTACTCAGGAGACTGAGGTGGGAGGATCACTGGATCCCGGGAGGTTGAGGATGCAGTGAACTGAGATAGTGCCACTGCACTCTAGCCAGGGCAAAAAAGTGAGACCCTGTCTCAAATATATATAGGTATGTATGTAAGATCTCAGCCCTAATTTTTATTTTTAAACAGCACATGGGTATAAAATTCCCCATTAGCTACTTTAGTTTTGTTCCTCTGAGCCAACTGCTAATGTCACACTGACTCTGAAGATTTGCAGTGGTGCCATGACATGAACACTTAACATTCTGAAATATGCTGTGGTCCCAACTTTTGGGCAAGTGGGGACATGAAGCTTGTGGAGATTCAACACTTCACAACATAACGGAGGATAGGAGCATGACAGGTGGGCATACTGGATATCATGGCCATTGAAATGACCATTTCTAGTAGTTATACGCTGTCAAGAGTTTCTTTGCATAGATAAAGCTAACTTTAGACTATTCGTACCTAGTTCCAAAAATCCATAGTTGTTCATGTACAAAAAGAATTCTATCAATGTCAAAGAGAAAACATATTATTACCAATTATCTGGTATGGTATATTAAGTGACAGGAAAAGGTAGGCACTGACTTTTATTTTTCTATAACTACATTTATCAATAGATGACCTATGTCTATCCCCTTTTCACTATTCCCTTTGGGCTGAGCAGAGGCTAAAGGAAAAGTAGGCCAAGTATATTTAATATTTTACATCAAACAAGTTATTTGCTTAAGATGCTTTGGCCAGCCTTGTGTCTGGCACTAGCGCCCAGCCTGACAGTTCCAGTAGGAATTAAACACCAGTTTTAATGGGTGCTGTGTTCCAATGCCTACTAATGCATTGACGGTTGTTGGCCAACTTCTTCAAATAAAAGCAAGAGTGAGTGTATGTGTGTGAACATGTGTGTGTGCCCACGTGTACATATGGAGGGATTACAGGGGGGAGCCGGCCACAGCTGCTTAATTTTTGTAAAGCTTTTTTTTTTCCTTAATAGGGAGGAGGGTTGTGGTTACTTACCATCCTCATAAGCTGCTACTGCCAACGAGCTGTTTATCCTCACAAAGGAGACATTTGGCTGCATTCCAGGCTCATCCTCCTCGTCCTCTGATTCCAGGAAGGGGGCTACGTAGTCCCAGGTGCGGGTGTCCCACACTCTCACATCCCCTGATGTATATCTGGAAGAGAACGACACACTTGGTTCCAAAAGGAGATTGAAGAGCAGGGCTATGGTGGGGAAAATGCACAGAGCCTTACAACAACAGACAAGTAAGAATCGGGTGGTGTAGAGCCACTGCTGAGGCACTGTTTAGATGAGTGACTCCAACAGGAGAAAATGTCAACTAGATGACAGAAGGCTGTGAACACGCTTCACATTCTCACAGCACAATGGTGACAATTTCAAATGAGAAAACAATAATAAGACATGGGTAGCAAGATCTCCTTGCTTTTCCTTTTACACTATTACAACAATCTGCTCCTGCAAGCTCTCCCACTACAGGGATCACTTGCAGAAATTTGTATAAGCCCCACTATTTACCCACAAACGCACACACTCACTCACAGGAAAGACAGAGAGAGATGCTGCAGGGATACTCAGAACTAATGGTCTCACAGGCACAGGCTTTCTAATACCTCATCCATGCATCAGATTTGACTGATTAAAGTCCCTGAAGACTAATTGATTTGCTGAAACAATTAAATCTTGCCTTTAGCAGCCAGACAGTGCTGCCTGCTCATGAAAAGCTCTTGCTGAATGCGCGACACTGCCCGGTTTTGCCCACTTAGAAAATAGAAGTACTCACTCTCTCCTATGACTAGTGCCACTCCAACAAATGACTGCTTCCATCAAAGCCAGGCCAGGCCGAACCTACTCAGACTTGAGGCCCCCAGGATGACAGAATGGCCAGATGATAAAGTGGGGTGCTGCCCATCACCAAGGTATTTAAGCTATGTTGCTTATGTCTGCTGCAGAGGGTTTTACTCCACTTGTACAGCAACTGAGTGTTATGGGGGGAAAAGTGGTGAGAAATGCCTTTAAGGGCCTCATGATAGAACCACACAATCACAAAGATAGGCCAATGATTTTAAGGGGGTTCATAGTCTTCCTGAGGCCCTAGCCATAGTTCCTGCAGGGTTTCTTTGCCGAGTTGATGAGATAACCTCTGAGATTCACTGAGTCACTGAAATCTATGATGTGACACATTAGTGAAGTAGCTATAGAAGACCAATCTGGAATTTCTTGGTTTTTGTTTTCTTTTGTTTGTTTTTGAGACAGGGTCTCACTCTGTTGCCCAGGCTAGAGTTCAGTGGCACAATTTCGGCTCACTGCAACCTCCGTCTCCCAGGTTCAAGCAATTCTTCTGCCTCAGCCTCCCAAGTAGCTGGGATTATAGGCGTGCACCACCATGTCCGGCTAGTTTGTTTTTTTAGTTTTTAGTAGAGATGGGGTTTTCCCCCAGCTGGTCTTGAACTCCTGGCCTCAAGTGATCCACCCACGTCGGCCTCCAAAAGTGTTGGGATTACAGGTGTGAGCCACCACAGCTGGCCTCAGGTGGAATTTCTTATAGAGAAGTACTCTGATTCAGGAGTGCTTTGTTTACTAGTAGTACTGCACCCAAATTCTTAATCTACAGTAAATACATATATTGCACAGTCCAAAGGCCATTCTGTCACCCCAATTCCTTGGTTGGAGAACTTGGCTCTCTACCTGCAGGGTGGCACCCAGAGAGTGCGCATGTGGGATAAAGAGCCAAACGGGAGAGACGTGCTTTCTGAACCTGGCCTGCTGTACCTCTGGGTTGACCACTGATCCTCCAGTAAACAGAAACACAAGATGAATGTCCTTAAGCCCAGCGACGTGCAAGCAAGGGCAGATCCTGAGATCACCCCAGCCAAAGCACGGCCACTGGCCCCCAGGCTCTCCAAGCAGCGGTCAGCTCACCCTTCTCAATGAGGAACCCTATACCAGAACACATACCCTGGAGCTCACTGCCCTCAAAATACCGGGCTCAGTGTGACACCCTGAGAACGACTCAGGCCATTTGCTGGAGTAAGGCCACTTGCTTAGCTACAGAGACACAACAGATGAGACATGTTTGAATGTCTAGACTGGGGGACTAGATTCTTAAGGTTAAATTCTATGTGACAGGAACCAGCCAATTCAGGAAAGATGAGAAGGATGGCAACGTCTTTCAGAAATACACAGATGGTAAGTGAAAGAAAGATAAAGGGAATTCAGATCAGAAAAGTAAGGCACGTTCAGAAAAAGAAGTACATAAACTAGGAAACTGTATTTCCTTCTTGCCAGTCTCTGTCCTTCTGCTTCCTGCTAACCATGTGTCACACCACACCAGCAGTCTGCACACTGTTTTCAGTGGTGCCCCCCCAGGGGACACAGTGGGGAGGCGAGGGTGGAGAGGAAAGACGGTTTAGGTGGCCTCAGCTCCAGCCCCCCAGCTCCCTGAACACAAAGAGTTCGGAGCCAAAATGACAGCAAAACAACAAAGCTTGGGAAAAAGGTACTTTAGCTGCTGAACCAGACAATAGTGAGCTGTGAAACAGAAACTGTTGAGCCCGCTCCTTACTCAGAGAAAGAGAAGAGAGTGAGGGCAGGAACCCCACAGATAACAGCACTCTATTCATATCTGAGGGGCTCCTGGGCAAGCCTTTCTCCCACAGAGGAGGTTGGTCCACTCACACTGTGACTCCACACGTCTAAAATCAAATGCTTCAGCTCATGGCCAAGCTAGCCTGTGTCTGAATTCCTTATTTTTATCAATGGGATCATCAGTCCCAGGTCACTGGTACAGAAGGAGAGGGGCCCCTTCAACACCGCTGTGGCCCACTACCCGCACCACTATAGATGCTCAGGTGCCAAGCTTGTTCTGTTCTGCTCATTCCCAGAGAAGCCACCCTGGTCCAAATCCCCCAACACCTCACATTCACACCCGACTACTACAGGCTCCCTGATTCGGAGCTTCTTCCATTCAATCCTCCCCCCACAAGCCAAGCCCTTCAAAACACCTGACTGCATGAATCTTTCTTCTGGAACCATTTCCTTTACTTCCTTTCTCCCTCACATGCCACACTACACCGCACTACGATCTACCTTCACGGCAGCCTGGACGTCTCCGTCATGGCAGTGGTGCATGTCTGTGATCATCTCACTGTTCATCTCCCTACCAGCCTGAAGCTTCTGAGCTCAGGGTCTGGGTTTTGTTCATAGCTGTGCATGCAATGACTGGAACAGACAGACTAGAACAGCGCTTGCCATATACCCAGAGAACCCTCTATAAAGTCTTACATCTTAACACCTTATTGAATGAAATTTTAATTATGAGACCTACTGAAAACCCACCACAAACTAACTTCCACCCCTCTCCCCAGCCTCATTTTCTACTCTCCCTTCACACGGGCCGGCTTCCAGAGAGGATCCCAAATGCTCTTGCCTCTGAACTCTGATTCTCTGCCCCACCTTGCTGCAGTACCTCACCTCCTCACCTCCCAGCCCAGTGGGGTCCAGCCTGGGCTGCACATTAAATTTGCCTGGAATGCTTTAAAAAGTGCAGATACAGGCCGGGCACGGTGGCTCATGCCTGTAATCCCAGCACTTTGGGAGGCTGAGGGCAGGGGCAGATCACCTGAGGTCAGGAGGTTGAGACCAGCCTGGCCAACAGGGTGAAACCTCGTCTCTACTAAAAATGCAAAAATTAGCCAGGTGTGGTGGTGCGTGCCTGTAATCCCACCTACTTGGGAGGCTGAGGCAGAAGAATCGCTTGAACTGGGAGGTGGAGGTTGCAGTGAGCCGAGATTGTGCCACTGCATTCCAGCCTCCCAGACCAAATAAATCTGACCATTTGGGGATAGAACCAGGCATCAATGTTTTCAATATACAGCCAAGATTGAGAATCACCAACCCAGCCCAATCCTACCAACCCCTCAAGGTCTAACACAGGCCCTCCCCTCCCCTCCTTGAAGCCTGAAGCTTTCTGACTCAACTACTATGCCCTTTATCTGAAGAAACTGCTTTTACTAATACAGTCCTTATGCATTGATCGTCTCCTCAACTTGACTGTAAAGTCTTCAAGAAGGCCCTACCGCAGTGCCATAGCCTCCATCACAGTGCCTTATGCAGAGCTCATCATAAATAGTGACTGAAAGGGGGTGTCCGCAGGTAACAACCTGACTGGCTTGAGGGGTACCTCTTTATTTCCACTGCCCACTTTCCAATGGTAATGATGAGTGAAACACCCAGAATGTACACACTGATGTGCATTAGACTGCTTCCACTTATTTCCAAACTGAATAAAAACTATAAAACAGGGGATAAGCTAAATTATTTCAATAAACATGAAATTTTCCATATATCTATTTAAATTAACTTCATTCTCCATGACCAAAAGGTATGATAATAACATAAATGTTTTGCTGCAAAATGACTCAGGAGGTAAAATATAAAAGCCTCTACGTCTCCTGTATTGACAGGAACTGAGACTAAATATGCTACTGCAGCAGGTACTGCATTATGACTCAGCAGCGGGCTCTCAAATCTAACCTAAGTGAAAGCCACAATAGCATGGGAGGCAGCCTCCATGCTCATGAACTTGTGCTAAGGAAACAGACATCTTTGGTAGGGTAAAACACAGGTTGGGGCAGAGGGACCTGGACCAAACCCTAAATGTGATCTAAAAGTGCTTAACAACATTGGCCAGGAGCAGCAAGAACAGATAACGAATGGAGGTAGGAAAAAAGGCTGATTTTTCTCCAGAGCTCCAGATGTCTTTATCGCTGCCTAATGACAATTACACTCAACCAATTAAGATGCCACTATGACAGTTACATTGTCAGTAAGCCTTTGGAACCCAATGTTGATGGCTCTCTAATTAGCGTCTGTGCAAAGTACAACTGCAACTAATATACTAGCTGATGTAAGAACACTAAGGAAAAACTGAAGAAGAAAGAAGTCTTTTCCAAATGAGGATATGCCCCAGCCCAGTGAAGCTGTGTGCTTTCCCAGTCTTTTCTACACTTGGCAAGGTTGAGTTTACCTCTAAATAAATAGGTCAGAGACCATAGCTGATTTTTTGTTGAAAGAATGGGAATAGAGCCTCTCTCAAGCTCTGCACGACAGAGGGATTGACAATTTAAAATGATTTACCACCAAAGAGCTTTCATTAACTAGTAAGTTTCCAATAAGCAGACTACTTATTGGACTAAGGGACTAGAAGAATAAGAAGGAATAAATACTGTACAGCTAAAAACAACCTTTCTTCTTCATAAGTATCCAGCAGCGTTTCCATTTTGCTTCCAGGTGTCAGCTCTTATTTGCTAAAAACAAAATTTTTTAAGGCCCTTCCTAGCAAGCTGGGGGGTTGTTTTGATTTAAGAATGCTGAGAAGTAAGGTTAAGTGACTTACCCAGGGTCACAAGAAACATTTTAGTGGCACAGCTGGGATCAAAATGTGCCCCAGGTTTTTCTCAATCACTGCTTAGCCAACAAGCCACTCTGCCTCCTCAGATGACACTGTCTTTAAACAAATACTGCTTTTAAGAACCACCCCCATTTAAGTGCAATATAAGGAATTTATTGTTTTCAATATTATGACTCAGGTTTGCAGGACACAGCCCCTGACCCTAACCCATCAATTCGACCACTAAATTGCAACTGGAAGGCGAGAAGCCAACAAAAAAGGCTCAGTATGCTGGGAGCAGGACTGGGAGCTGAGCAGATGCAACCTGTTGCCTCCCATGCCTGCTTCTCAGGGGATGCAGGAGAACATATGGAACCGTTAGCAAGACTTCTTTCTCTACAGGATCATACACAAACAGCCACTCCCAAACCAAGTCACAGTTCTGTTCTGATCAGGCACCCAGAGCAGCCAAGAGGGGCCCTGTTATGAGGCTTCAGGCCAGGAACAGCAAATGGTTTCGTTTGTGTGTCAAATCCAGTACATGGTAGTGGTTGCCTAGAGCTCTGTGTTGAGAAGGATTCTGAAGCTGTGTTTCATCCAGCTTACCAGAAAAACAAATGCAGTAATGAGTTATTCATGATCACTACTGGTTGGGGAGTGAGGAGGGCAGCATCTCTGCCCCATATAAAACTCCACCTGGCCAAGTCCTAGTCATCCTTCTGGATTCAGGTTGAAAGTCATTTCCCAGCAGGAAGCTAGCCTGATGCTGAGCCTGTATGAGGTGCCTCTCCCTAGCATGTTATGGCACCGTGCTCCTCCCCAACCCTAACACCTCCCAGAGTGTTCTGTAAACACCAGTAACTGGATCCCTTGGCAGCCTATAAACTCGCCATGACCAGGGGGGTTGTGTGTGGTATTCATCCATGCTTAGTGGGTGTTGACGGAATGAATGAATCTACTGACTTAAACCCAGAAGATGGAAGTGGTTTAAAGCCTACTGAGCAATCAGGCAGAGGCTCCTAAAACTGCAGTGTCCACATTTCAAGAAACATTCGTGCCCTTAATATGTAAAAGTTTGAAGAACTATTCACTTGCTCCTTTGCTTCTTTGGTATTTCTTTGCTCCTTTGCTTCTTTGGTATTTCTTCAGTAATATCAAAGAATACCAATCAATAAAAGCAAGAGTATTTACTATTTTCTATGAAACACGATGGGGTTGTATTATGCAATTAACAAAATGAACTCAATCCCACAGTGCAGAATCCTTCTGTGGAAATGCACTACAACAAACATCAAGTGGGGCTTAAGACGCATCAATTGAAAAATAATGAACGTCTTAATGGACCTTATGAGATACATGCACTACACACTTAAAACTGTTTTCCATACATCTTGGTTAATCACAATCAATAGAGTCAGAGTCAATGATGATTATGCAGAGTTATTGTAGCTGTGGCCCTTCCCATTATTCCTCGGAGAACCAGAGATGGATAAATGCAGTCATGAGTTCACCAGTATTTATCAAGGATATTCTGGAGCTCCTTCATTAAAGATATAATAAATGTAATGCTCTCCTCTAGTCACTTATCAATATCTTACCTCAGACTTATTTACCAGAAGAGCATGTATACCTCACAGCAGAAAATAAATAAATTTAAAAGTATTTTTAAAAAGAGGTCCCTAACGGGTAATGATCGAGTTCCTTATGGGAAACAGTCCAATGTCACAATAACTAGCAGCAGAAAATCTATACAAAACAAGGTTTAAAGGAAAACTGTTAGGGGAAAAAGTTTTTTTAAAAAAGGAGAAAAATGGAACGCATGTCCTTAGTAAGTATATATGGGCAACATTTATCTCACACAACCTTATACCTATGTTATTTACAAAGCATCTGTTATCTCAACAGTCTCAAAGTAATCCATAGGCAGTATTTATTTTTCACACATACATATAAAACTAAGCGAGTGTTGGAAACACGATCCTTGAGGGCTTCAGTTCCCGAACAGAAAATATTTTTAAATTCAGGGCAAATATATACGTATTCACATTAAAGCTACTATTCATATTTTGGCATGGTATACAGTCGATAAAAAGGTCCTTTTTTAAAAAAAAATTTTTTTTGAGACAGTCTCGCTGTCACCAAGCTGGAGTGCAGTGGCATGATCCTGGCTCACTGCAACCTCTACCTCCCGGGTTCAAGTGATCCTTGTGCCTCAGCCACCCGAGTAGCTGAGATTACAGGTGTGCACCACCATGCCTGGCTAATTTTTGTATTTTTGGTAGAGAAGGGGTTTTGCCATGTTGGCCAGGCTGGTCTCAAACTCCTGACCTCAAGTGACCCACCTGCCTTGACTTCCCAAAGTGCTAGGATTACAGGCATGCCACTGTGCCCGGCTAATAACAAGGTACATTTGTAATTACTGGAAAAAGCAGAGGACAACATAGCTAAAAGCAAGGTATTTCAAGTTACCTTAGATGACTTTGTTTATTTTTTGGAGATGGAGTCTCACTCTGTTGCCCAGGCTGGGGAGCAGTGGCATGACCTCGGCTCACTGCAACCTCCACCTCCTGGGTTCTAGCGATTCTTCTGCCTCAGCCTCCCGAGTAGTTGGGATTACAGGCACGTGTCACCATGCCCAGCTAATTTTTCTATTTTTAGTAGAGACAGGGTTTCACCATGTTAGCCAGGCTGGTCTCAAACTCCTGACCCTAAGTGATCCACCCACCTTGGCCTCCCAAAGTGCTGGGAGTACAGGCATGAGCCACTGTGCCTGCCCTGTTTAAAATTATATTTTCCAATACTTCTTAATTGTAAAACAATGATAAAATTCCACTGAAGGGCCAACAGGCAAACTGAACCAACCAAAGATTCAGACACCAATTTTTACATATATAAATTTGAAGCTCCAAATTTTGCTCTCTGTCTACAAAGAACTGCAAACCCTCTCACTCTGACGCCAGGGTGTATGAATGGGGCTCAGAAAAATAAAAACATATTTGAATCAGGCCATGTCTGGCAGCTGAAGCAGCAGCCAGAGATCACTTGGTTGCTAGAGAGGTATGGGCAGTTTTGTTTTGTATCTACTTGGGCACACTTGCCTCAAAAGGAATGAAGCAAAAATGGGACAACTGAGTGTTTTTAGGGTAAGAAGAGCGCTAATGGTTTGCAGCAAATGATACAGTTCTCCTTCCAACCACACTAGGCAGAAGAGAAGCATGGATACACAGCCCTGCTCCTTCCAGCAAAGGCAGGAACGGTATGCTAAAAAGGCGGAAACCAGGGGAGAAAATATTTAGGAGTAATGAAAAAAACCTCAACACAAACAGGTTGCTTGGTGTTTTTTTTAAAACCAAAAGAGAGAAAATGTCCTCTCATATGAATAGAAAAGTGTGTTTTCTTATGCCAACTAGAATGCTTTAGCCTTATGAATCTCAAGTAACAATGAGGAGAGAGTTTATTGCAAAACACCATCATACTCCTGGGCATCTGATAAAAGCTTCTGGTGAGCTAATGGCTTAATGGTTAGCAGAGCTGGCACAAGGCCTCCAAGGAGCTACTGGTTCTACCTGAGATGCACTCTTCACTAGGTGGCTCTCCTTCACTACTTATGGCAAACGACACCTAGCCCTGCACCTCAGGTTTTATACTGTCTTTTTTGAACTCATGATGTCATCTGATTGCAACACTTAACTTCCAGAGGGCAACTGGGGAGAAGGAAGACGAGAACAGTCTAAGCATCACAAAACAGAACAGGGATGTTTCCATATGCCCCTTTCTTCTACTCTTTCTCCTCAAGGATAAACATACAATTTTCAAAACATTCTAAAATTCTAAGAGCTGTTACCACAATAAATCAAAGAAACAAACAAAAGACATGTTTCCTGAGCACTTACTATCAACTAACTTTCTAGACAAACTCTGTGCTAAAACACAAGGAAAACACACACTAAACCTCGCTAGCATTTCAGGAGGTCCAGCAGATCACAGATACAAATGCAGACAGGCGCTGAACTTTGAGAGAAAGACAGGTGACTGATTCTGTAGAGACTGGTGACTTATGAACATAAATTTTTCTCAAGTTACAGAAATGAGAAATTTTCGCTGAAAAAGCAAAGTAAAAGTTGTGTCTGAATGTCTCAGTCGCAGTTGAAGGCACGTCCACTTATCTCTCCAACAAAGAAAACAACTGGTGCAGGTCTTTTCTGCGCTGCTGCATATCCTTGCTAAGTGGTCAAGTGACAGCAGAGAAAGACAAGAACGAGGGCCAGAGAAGGCGCTCACGGAGGTAATGGAAGTCCAGAGAGTGTGGAATCGCCGAAGGGGAGTTTTCCTTTCTTACACACTTGGCTCAAAGTTTCCTGGGTCCTGGGAAAGATGTTAGACTCTGAGGGCATACAGATGCTTAATACAGGGCCCCCCCCCCCCATTTCAAGAGGGGAAAGTCAACAGCACCAAATGTTGCCAAGAGGCTGGAGAGGACGAGCCAAGAAAAGGCTATTGGTTTGTTGACCAAAAGATCACGGGTGACCTCTGAGAGTGCAGCACAGTGGGGCTGGGATGGAGCCAGCTGGAGGGAGGTTAGACGGGGAGGAAGGAAGAGGGGCAGGAGGCACGGGCTCTCACTATGTACAGCACTAACAGGAAGATGGCAGGGATGGTTTGGAGACTTCAAGTCAAAAGGTTAGATTGCAAAGAAGCTGAGGGCTACAAAAGCACTTTTAAATAATTTATTAATCTGGAAAATAAAAATTCATTCCCCTAAATCCAGTAATTCTGCTTACAGGACTCTAGCCTAGGAAAACAATCAGGATTGCAAGACTAGGAGACGATAATGAGAGAACTTTAACTCTTTATTTTATATACTTATATAGAATTTCAAGTTTCTACAGTAGCATGTGTCTAATCATTTTAAAATAAAGATTTGTAATGCTAAAAAGGAGAAAAATTTGCAGACATCTATACATAAAATATTCATAACATACATATAACAAAACACAGGAAATGACCTTAATGTCCACTATTAGGGGAATAAATAGGGAAATTGGGGTATAATTATCCAAAGTGTTTTTGCAACAAGTCAAAGAAAGTAATGAAAAATATGCAACATGAAAAAAATTCATCAGTTTGGTGAGGGAAAAGGCCACAAATCTAACAAAGGCTACAGTCACACTATGAAAAAACATGCATAGAAAAACAGACTGAAAACCAAACCAGACACATGGGAGACCTTAATAAAGGTTGTGTTCCATGCTAGAATTTGAGTGGCTTTCTCTTCTCTACTTTCTAACACGGTTGCAAAACAACATGGTTTTTACCACTGCTTTTTCTTTTTTTTTTTTTTTTTTTTTTTGAGACAGAGTCGCCCTGTCGCCCAGGCTGGAATGCAATGGTGCGATCTCAGCTCACTGCAACCTCTGCCTCCCAGGTTCAAATAATTCTCCTGCCTCAGCCTCCCAAGTAGCTAGGATTACAGGTGCCCGCCACCACGCCCAGCTAATTTTTGTATTTTTAGTAGAGATGGGGTTTCACCATGTTGGCCAGGCTGGTCTTGAACTCCTGACCTCATGATCTGCCCGCCTAGGCCTCCCAAAGTGCTGGGATTACAGGCGTGAGCCACCATGCCCGGCTGGTTTTGTTTTTCTTGTTTTTTGTTTGTTTGTTTTGTTTTGTTTTTTTGTCTTTTTTTTTTGAGATGGAGTCTTGCTCTGTCGCCCAGGCTGGAGTGCAGTGGCGCGATCTTGGCTCACTGCAAGCTCCACCTCCTGGGTTCACGCCATTCTCCTGCCTCAGCCTCCTGAGTAGCTGGGACTACAGGCACTCGCCACCATGCCCGGATAATTTTTTTGTATTTTTTAGTGGAGACAGGGTTTCACCGTGTTAGCCAGGATGGTCTCGATCTCCTGACCTTGTGATCCGCCCGCCTCGGCCTCCCAAAGTGCTGGGATTACAGGCGTGAGCCACCGCGCCCAGCCGGCTGCTTTTGTTTTTAAATAGACACATGCCACAAAAGAAAAACCAAAATGATGCTATAATAGCCAAAGCTTCAGAGCAGCAAATGAGGGCTGGAAACGGCAGCCTCACCAGCCAGCCCTGCCTGTGGATGCTGCAGAAACACAGCGGAGCGGCTCCACTCACGCACACCCAGCCTGGCCCTGAGCCTCTGCCACCTCAAGCAAGATGAGGGTCTTGGAACGCATCATCTCTAAAGTTCCTTCCAGGTTTAAAAATGTATGATTCTAAACTGAGAAAACTAAGAAAGTAGAGAACAGACATAGGCATTTCTCTAGTTTCCCATATAACATCATATATAGGTGGCAGGGGACAAGGGGAGTCTGTGTATTAAGTTTTAATGCTTACTCCATATAAAACAGTATACATTTAACAAAATATTACATACCACTCATGGTTTTAAAAGATGCTTACAGGCCGGGTGCAGTGGCTCACGCCTGTAATCCCAGCACTTTGGGAGGCTGAGGTGGGCTGATTTCTTGAAGCCAGGGGTTTGAGACCAGCCTGGCCAACATGGTGAAACCCCATCTCTACTAAAAATACAAAAATTAGCTGGGTGTGGTGGCACACGCCCGTAGTCCCAGCTACTCGGGAGGCTGAAGCAGGAGAATCGCTTGAACCTGGGAGGTGGAGGTTGCAGTGAGCTGAGATCACACCACTGCACTCCAGCCTGGGCGACAGAGTGAGACTGTGTCTCAAAACAATAAAAATTTAAATGTAAATTTTAAAAAGATGCTTACAAATTGCTGGAAAGAAAATACAGTAGATGGCTGTAAAGTTAAATATTATTTCTAAGTAAAATAATAATATAAAACAAAAAATGTTTCAGTGAAACAGCAAGGCCACACGATGAGTTGCCCTGTCAGCTGTAGATGGTCCCGTCTCTAGGAGTTCCGAGAAGAATGGACGCTAGGCTACAGTGCTAGAGAAATCTCTGGGAGGAGACAGGACTGGAGTAGGCCTTAAAGAATGGGTTCTGGGTTTCCAGTTGATGAAAATGTTCTGGAATTAGATAGTGGTGTTGGTTGCACAACCTTGTAAATCTACTAAGAAAAAATCACTGAATTGTACACTTTGAAAGAGTGAATTTTATGGCATATGAATTATACAGTCGTGTCACTAAACGACAGGGTTACACTCAGAAAAATGCATCCTTTGGTGAATTTATCATTTGTGCAAACATCACAGAGTGTTCTTACACAAACCCAGGTGGCAGAGCCTACTATACACCTAGGGTACATGAATGGCCAATGTCATATATGGGGCCCATCATTGACTAAAACGCTGTTATGCAGCATATGACTGTATCTTAACTAAAAAAATGATGCAGTCAGAGGTAACTAAATAGAACAGTGTGGAAAAAACAAAGGTACACTTGAAAAGTGTAATAAGGAAAAAGGTAGCTTGGAAAGAAATGTCAAAGAGCTTTGAATGTCAGGAAAAGTTAACTAGAAATTATTTGTAAGACTGTAGAGTAAGCAAAGACTCACGGACAAAAGAGTGAACAATCAAATGCTTTGGAAAGAATGTTTCCCCACTGGAAAAACAAGCCTCAGGGAGACAGGCACCAGGTCCTGTTCACATGATGGGTATTTGAGTGTCAAATGCGTTTATCAACGAGTGACTATTTTCAGATTTCACTGGTTTTATGTGAAAAGGAGAGTAGGGAAGAACCATGACTGGGTCCATCATGAGGTTCACTGCAATAAATATCAGTCTGGGCCTATGCAGCATGGCCCCAAACTAGGAATATTTACATAGAGAGCTGAAAAGGTGAGAAGAAGAGATTCTGCTCTCCATCAATGATGTGAAATGTACTTAATAGGTGTAAATGCAAAAATGCTTCATAGTTTAGCTCTAGGTACATAAAACTAAGCCTCTGAACAGACTCCACTTGTGCAAAAGAAAGAGAAAAGGGAAGGAAAAAAGAAGAATAAGAGAAACACGAGGTAAGTACAAGAGAAAGAAGGGGTGAGTTGGCCACTGTCTCTTTAAGAAGCTCCTTGGAGATACATAACTGTAGAAAGCCTGGTGAATTCAACATTGATTGGGAATGAGGTAACCACAAACACCGCTGTCTCAAATGAAAAGGGATTCAAGATCTGACCCAGAAAACAAGCATCGTAACCACCAGATAAAATTTTAATGATAAACACAAGATGCTCTACATACAAGCAAGACTGAAGTCTCTCATGCTAAGCCATCAACGTAAGGTTTTCTTAGAAAGAGGAGCCACCAGGAGCCTCTCGACCCACAGATCAAGTTTCATCCTATCGATCCACAGAACGTGGCCATCGTGCTCTGTGCTGGCATAATCTGTAATGTTGAACAGACCCCGAGGGAACAGAGAGGCAGAGAGAGAAGGACTGGCATCTGGACTCGTAGGGGGCCTGCCCTTCGGGAGCTCCAGAGAAGAAATTCATAATTGGCTTTGAGAGTCAAGGCTCTCCTTTATTTTTAAGTTCTTTTGCGACTCTTTCAGTCCAGTCTCAGCCTTCTGTCCTCAAGTGTCTTCTGACACTCTAGGCAGAGATCCCTTTAAGCTGGAATGATCTAAGTACCTTCCGGAGTTCACACCAAACTGTAGCATCCGTGGGTAGAAAGGAGCTGCATATCAGTTGATCGCAGGCCCACATTTTAGCAACGAGCATCGATAACTTAATGGACAGAATCGCAAGTATCTGGACCATCAACCTTTCTAAAACTAGTTCTGCAGCACTCCCAAGAAGGGCTTTCACCTCTAAATCATAGCCAGTGAAACAGAAACTGAAGAAAAGCCTGCCTCCTGGGTACATCTTGTTTAAAGCAGAAATACTTTTTTTCATAGGCACTGCATGCCACAAAATATTAAAATAATCCGACTGTGTGGAATTTCTATTCAAAAGGTGCTCTTTAAGGAATGCTGCTTAAAGAAAGATTTTTCTTTAAAGAAAAGGACTCCTCTACTACTGAGTTTTAAAGTCCAAGGTTTGTTTTATTTTCCCATAGGCAGGAAGTTCCCTAAGGCGTCTCACTCCATAGCTGATCCAAACTAAGAAATTTAAGTGTTCTGCTTTCTACTTTATGGCATTAAGTATACAGTCTGAGGCTGTAGTTCATGACATCTTCCTAATCCAAAAAGAAAACTGATCTTATTGTAGAGTAAATAAATATATAAATGTACCTCTGTAACAAAGTAGGAAGACTTCATCAAAGTGGTTTTTGGGACAGAAGCTGAAGGAATTTACAGAAGCTAAAATTAAATGTGTTGGCCATGGAGAAAAAAAAAAACAATGTCAGGACAACTTAAGTAACAAATAGGTACTATATGGTGGGGAAGGAAGATTATGTGTGGCCAAAGCCCTTCTTCACAATAAGGGATTTAGAAAAAGAGAATGAGAACAGGGCCTGTCTGTGCCAACACTTATTATCTTTGCTTGACTTTTTTATGTCTTCATAAAATACAAACTGTTTGCCTTAATGAAAATCTCACATAACATGCCACAAGAGTGATTTAAAAGCTGGGAAAGACATATTGAGACAAATGGATCACAGATCCGCTCTACACCATGTGCTTCTCACCCTTGCTGCGCGCTCTCACGTCCTTGGGAACAGAATCACGGAGACTCTCCCTCTTCCACATGGGCTGTAACTGAGGGAGGTACATGCTCTCAAAGGAAGCTAAGGTCACTGGTACTCAGAGGGTGGTATGAGAAAAATGAAAGACCTTCAGATGCAGAGCACTCAGTGGAAACGGTTTGGCTTACCCCGCAATGACCACACCATCGTGAGAATGCACATCACACAAAACTGTGTCAGGAACATGCTCCAGCTCGCTCACGGCACCTTTGCGATTCTGCGTGAGGAAAAGGGGGATGCAGTTTAGACTGCTCTCGGGACAGCCCGAAAGCCAAGCATCGTGCTTTTTCACCTACTTTCCACAGCAATTCTCTACAGCATGGACAACAAGTGCATTCAAAGTTCCATGGGCATTCAAAAAGACAAAGATGATGACTAACATGCTAAGCTGTTAAGCATGGGCGAGTTACCATATATCCCAAAGGCACTGAACTCGAGGACACAGGACGTGTGAGACATTGCCCCATCCTCCAGGAGGTTACAGAATAGAAAGCAAATATGTGCTCACCAATAACTACCATCCACAATAGGCTGGCATGTATCTGCTGGGAGTGGCAAGTATCTAAAGAAACTTATAAAGTATGTGAAAAAGTTCCGTTCAGCAAAAAGAAAGTATTACATGATACCTTACCTGTTAATTCTTATAAGGACTCTCAGAATAAAATGCAAAATTATATACAAATAGATAAAGATCAGGATGAGGAAAAGGAGATGAGATGATACTATTTCTAACTGAGAGGCCAGAGGTTTCATGGAAATGGTATTTGAATGACAGTCTAGGCCAGGCACAGTGGCTCATGCCTGTAATCCCAGCACTTTGGGAGGCAGAGGCAGGAAGATCACTTGAGCTCAGAAGTTTTGAGACCAGCCTGTGCAACACAGGGAGACCCCATCTCTGCAAAAAATTTAAAAGACAGTCAGGTGTGGTGGCATGCACCTGTAGTCCCAACTATTTGAGAGGATGAGGCAGGAGGATCACTTGAGTCCAGGAACTTAAGGCTACAGTGAGTTATGATTGCAACACTGTACTTCAGCCTGGGCAAGAGAGTGAGAACCTATCTCTAAAAAAATAAAAAATTAAATTGAATTAAAATGAAGGGAATCTGAATGCACATAAAGTATTTACATGTGGGAGGTTGGGAAAAGTGAGATAGGCCACAAAGCAAGCATGAATAAAGGTATTCAAGAATACCATAATTTCAACTTTACCAGACTGGGACAAAGACTAGAAACAGTGTAAGTGCCCAGCACAGTTCTTAACATACAGCAAGTGTTCAATAAGTGGTAGCCATTATTATTATTATTTCTATTATTAGGAAAAAGATGACATCATTCCATTAAAATACACATTTATTAAGTACCTAGACTCTAGAAACTGAGCAAAGTAATTTGCATGATGGTCTTAACTTAATCCAAGGAATGAGTCTAAGGCTGAGAGATAAAACTAGACACATCCACGTGGAGCTGTCCTACAAGTGGAGATATGGGGAGGGAAGGCAAGGATCTGGGAGTCAGCTGTGTGAAGGCCGCAACCAAGGTTACAATAACAGAAAATCTCTTGTGAGGGAAAAAGTATTGAAAGAAAAATAGAGGGCCTAAGATGAAAACCTGCATTTATGCAAACACTAGGAAAAAAAACACTATGGCCACCACAATTAGTTTAGCAAATCATTTCCAGGTTGGCTCTGAAATGCAATTCCAGATAACTTCATGCATTTGCAGGCCATTCTCTTTGTGGAGGTACCTGAGAACCCTGGGGTCCCTTCTAGGGTCTCCCCAGACACTGACTTAAGAGGTACCAAACCAAATCGCCTGCCTAACCCATCCTGAAGTCGAGCACGCACAGCACAGAACCCTGCATCTGTGTGCAGAGGCCTATGCTCTCCTACAGCCAACCTCGCCTGAGCACTGAGCGTGGACCAGGCTCTGCAGGAGTGGCAGACACTTGATGACGATCATCCTCACCATGACGCCATGAGCAGTGCCACTCCTAGCCCCTACTCTAGAGATGAGAAAATGGAGGCAGACAAAAGTAAAGCAACTTGCCCCAACACTGCCTTTCATTTCTTTCTTTCTTTTCTTTTTTTTTTTTTTTTTTGAGACAGTCTCGCTCTGTCGCCCAGGCTGGAGTGCAATGGCGCAATCTTGGCTCACTGCAACCTCCACCTCCAGGGTTCAGGCGATTCTCCAATCTCAGCCTCCCAGTAGCTGGGACTACAGGTGTGTGCCACCACGCCCGGCTAATTTTCGTATTTTTAGTAGAGATGGGGTTTCACCATATTGGCCATGGAACTCCTAACCTCAAGTGATCCATCCGCCTCAGCCTCCCAAAGTGCTGGGATTACAGGAGTGACCCACGGTGCCGGGCCGCCTTTCATGTTTTGATAAGGCTTTCTTTCATTCCAGAATTTTGGTAAGAATCCCACCATTACATTTAATGAAAGATACATCATTTAAAATTTCACTCCTAGAATTCTCCTTGTTAACACTGTCAGGAAATGGACCTTACACGCTCCAAATAGAAGTCTCCCTCATGTTTGGTTCAGCCTGCAGTCCGCTCCAGTTCACTCAATCAACAGCCATGTAGTGAGTACTTACCTAACACATGACTTCCTGTTCATTAGAAATAAATACTAAATAGACATTCAGCTAGATTGTATATAACTTGTAAAGTGTTACTAAGTGCCAAATGCTAGGTGATGGGTCTTTAAAATATCGTCACTTCTGCCACCTCCAGGCCCAACAAGGACATACCTGTCCTCTTCCCTTGCTTTCTCTATCACCAAAGAGGAAGCAAAAAACACAGCTGCTGCTTTTCTCTACCACGGTCTGACATCTTCGAATTCAAGCCTGGGGATGCCAAATATCTCCAACTCTCCTGCTTGTAAATCTCAAAAGTATCTCTCCTTTCTGGAGAGAAAGGACCCCGTTAACATTCAGCTCTCAAGCTTTCCTTAAATCGCAGCCCCTCCCACCAGGGTTAGACCCTCTGCTTTCTGACCCCTTGTTTATCTGGGCAGCTTTCTTTGTCATACCTTTCTGCCTGTGTGCATCACATGGACCTACCCAGGCACACGGGCAAGAGGGACTGGGGGCTCCCTCCAGACGAGTTTATTACCGTAGGTGGATGGAAAAGGGCACTGTGGGGCCAGCGTGACCTGTCTTAGTGGTGGTGTCTTAACAGCCTAAGAAAGGATAGCCACACTAACTCTCAGAACAGTGGTTCTCGACTGGGAGGGGATTTTGATTCCCAGGGGACATCCAGCAATGTCTAGGGGCATTTCTAGTTGTCATGACTTGGGGGAGGAAGAGAATGCTACTGGCGTCTAATGGGGAGAGGCCAGAGATACTGCTCAACAGCCTGCAATGCACAGGACAGCCCCGCACAAAACGAATTAGCTGGCCCCAAATGTCACTAGTGCTGGGGTTGAGAACCCCTGAACTAGAGAGACACTGCTCTTATTGACTTTGCTAGAAACCGTGTGAGGTTGCCCAGATCAAGCGTATTGGTCACTAATCAGGTTAGGAGGTGAGTAGGGACAGACAGGCACATAGGCAATTTGTCATTATCAGTAATGCACAAAAGCTTGTTAATCTCAAAGTCTATTAGGATTGACCTTTATGGGAGTAAAGAGAATGGTTCCATCCCTTCTCTACCATTGAATCTCCAGCCTCCCAGGTGAGAAAGAAACACTGCCACCACACTGCTGTCTCGTCATGCCTCAAACAGCTTTATGTAACACGGCTCTTGACAGTTATCTCCTATGGAAACACTTCACTGTGCAAATTCTTAGCTGTGATCTAATATTTCCGTAGAGACTTTGAAGTGATAAATGTTATGGAAGCACGCCAATAGGTTATGTGAGGGAAGAGAAGACAGTGCTTAGAGATGTTTAATCATCTCCCTCTTACATTTACTAGAAATGACATTTTCAGCTCCTCTTTTGTATGCAGGTAGTGCTTTTGCTTTCTGGGTCCCTCCAGAGAGTCGGTGAAAGTCAAAGGGGCTGCACAGAGCACTCCTCTGACCACCCTAACAATCCGAGAGGAAGTGGCTGGCAACCCAATCTCACCCTTCCTCTCCTGCAGAATAAGAGGATGTTCCCAAATCTTGAGGCTGAAAACAGAGGCAGATCATCTAATGGTGAACAAAATGGGCAACAAGTCACCAACAGCTGAAGGGGAGGCTCAGTGTACCCCTCTCCCTTCGCTGTTGGCAATTAATCTCAGGCTATGAGTGAAAGCTTGGATTCCCATGTCCTTGCAGGCTATTCTTTCACAGGTAATGATATTGGCCACTGCCCACCTTCCAGTTGGTTCGTAACATGTGTTCCTTGGCTCGGCACTCTTGGAAGATGAGCTTCCAGCAAGAATAGTCAGAGATGCTGCTATCCGGAAGGTGCCCTTCCTGCTGGCACAGCCTGTACCACAGCACCTCATCCTCTGCAATCACCTTCCACGTCTTGCTCACCTAAAACAGCAGAAGTGACACAAATGTCAAATTCTGCAATTAGAGAAGCCCCTTGTCATCCAAAAATCAATCAACACCTATATTATTGCCCTGGGTTTATGGCAGTATAAAATGTCTCATTAACAAAACACTATGAGGTGGAAAAAAAAATACAAGCAAATGTTTCCAGTTTTATCTTTCAAGATTTCAAAATTGTTGTACCACCATGTAATATCACATTTTAGACTACTTGGTTATATTGTAATCTAACAAATAAGAGAAGAAAATACACAAATACATAAAATGCAAAAAATATAAACTTTTACATGGTAATTAGCTATACAATCATACAGAGCTTTTCAGAATGGAATCTCTTTACTTTTGACAAAAAGCATTTGTATTTCCACCTTACAGAATTGAAGATTGATGGCCTCCAAAATCAAAGGCTGTCATAAAATTACCTATAACCCAAACATCTGGTCAGGTAAAAAATTCAAATTTAAATTGCATGTGAGAATTTAGATTTTAAACATATGTATATATTTAATTAACAGAAAACTCAAGCCATTATCCAGGACTGTAAGATTAGATCTAGAAAAATTAATGTTATGTCTGGCCTGACTTTCAAATCCCAACAGTATCCAGAGGAAATGGCCATTTTAACTATTAGCATTTTGTTTTCCAACACTAATTTAGGGGAACAAAAGGTTTACTTAATCACAGGATCATGTGCAAAGTTGGCCAGACTGCAAAAGATGGACTCTGTTGGCAGATGAGAAACTGATCGAGCAGATCAGCGTGATCCCGGTCTGCACAGCATTCTGGGAATGCAGGATCAAGTGCCTGATGCTTGCCATCCATCCAAAAGTTGAGTCTCACTTCTAATGAAGAGTGGTAGCGGGTAGGTTACAGTACCCTGTACTCTTTAACACTCCCTTAGGGCCACTTCAAGACTCAAAGACAGAGACGGAAAGAAGGAAAATGAGAGAAAGTAGGAGACCAGATTCTTACTGCACAAAGGGCCTCAGCTGATAAAGCACTGACAGAGAGTTAGTTTGCAGGATGGCAGATTAAAGACCTCCAAAGACCTGCTCCTCCATAACAGCAGTAAGAATTCCACCAAAAATGATCGATCAACTTTTTCGGAGTCTGGAAATTAACAAAAGGATTGCAACATTCTGAGGAACATTTATCCAAGAAAAGTGGCTAAATCTCAGTAAGAACAGTGACGTCTAAGTTGTTTTAATGTGTGCTAATTCTGTTTCCTCTTCCAGCTCCAGGATTGCCTTAAAAATCAACAACCTCGTGAAGATAGCAGCTGTAAAAACCGGCAGCCTAGCAGCCATTAGAGAGGCCAGACAAGTTTAGAGGTCCCCAAAAATCAAATCCCCAGAGAACTGTCACCATTTGACCTGGCTGGCAGCTTGCCAGAAAGCTCTATTCTCAAGGCTTGTCTTTATCTGAGCTGGCTGAGCACTGTCTCTGTCCTATCTCCAGGGCATTTACCCAAAATAGTAAGTGGCAACTGCTTAACTCTACAGCTGCCTGAGGAGGCACTGCTAGCTGGGGCTGTTAGAGGCTGACCAAAAAGCTTGAAAGAAAAAGCTTGGAAATGGGATGTCCATAGGAGGCTCTGAAAGGCTCCAATATATTCCTGGGAGTCTGGAATGCCACGTGAATGTATAGGGCTATGTGTGTGCCCAGGAAAGACCAGAGAAGGCCCTAACCTCTCCCCTCTGGCTGACCCTGAGGCTCTGCACAAGCAGGAAGTGAAGGCTAAGGCAGAGCTGTAAGCTGCTAGAATGGTGAAGCAGTACCCCAATATACAGAGAGCACCTCAGCAAAGGCTGGGAGACTTACTGGTTCAGTGGATTTAAGGAAATCTCCATTTGATAACTAGCTAACCACTAAGCTAGCCAAGCAGAGACTTCAGGAGGTGCACATGACAAATAATACAAATTAGAGAATTATTCCAGAAAAGTCACTAAACAAACAGCAGCAACAACAAAAATAACAATAGCAATAACAGCAAATTCTGAAGAGGGAGAAAGATTCTATTTCCAGAGTTTCCATTATTTAAAATGTCCAGTTTTTAACAAAATTACAAAAGCATGCAAAGAAACAAGGAAGCAGGGCCCATACACAGGGGAAAAGGCAGTCAACAGAAGCTAACCCTGAGAAAGTCCAGAAGCTGGACTTACTAAACAGAGACTTTAAATCAGCTATTTCAAATATGTTCAAAATACTAAAAGAAAGCATGTCTAAAGAAATAAAAGAAAGTAGAAGAACAATGTCTTACCATATAGAAGATAATGATAAAGAGATAGAAATTATCTGTTAAAAAACTAGGGAGGCTGAGGTGGGTAGATCACCAGGTCAGGAGATTCAGACCATCCTGGTTAACACGATGAAACCCCATCTCTACTAAAAATACAAAAAATTATCCAGGCATGGTGGCACGCACCTGTAGTCCCAGCTACTCAGGAGGCTGATGCAGGAAAATCATTTGAACCCGGGAGGCAGAGGTTGCAGTGAGCCGAGATCACACCACTGCACTCTGGCCTGGGCAACAGAGTGAGACCCCGTCTCAAAAAAAAAAAAAAAAAAAAAAAAATAGAAGCTCTGGAGTTAAAAAGTACAGGAACTGAAATAAAAAATTCCCTAAAGGCGCTCAACAACAAGTTTGAGCTGGAAGAAAAATCAGCAAATTTGGCCAGGCGCAGTGGCTCACGCCTGTAATCCCTGCACTTTGGGAAGCTGAGGCAGGTGGATCACGAGGTCAGAAGTTCAAGACCAGCCTGGCCAACATGGTGAAACCCCATCTCGACTAAAAATATAAAAAACTAGCTGGACATGGTGGCGTGCACCTGTAATCCCAGCTACTCGGGAGGCTGAGGCAGGAGAATCACTTGAACCCAGGAGGCAGAGGTGGCAGTGAGCCAAGATCACGCCATTGCACTCCAGCCTGGGCAACAGCGCAAGACTCTGTCTCGGAAAAAAAAAAAAAAAATCAGGAAACTTAAAGCAAGTCAATTGAGATTATCTACTCTATGGGGGAAAAAAAAGAATAAAGGAAAAAAAAGAGTCTGTAATCCTAGCACCTTTGGAGGCCGAGGCAGGAGGATTGCTCAATGAGTTGAGGCCACACTGATGAACAGTGAGACCCCATCTCTACAAAAAAAAAAAAAATTAGCCAGATGTGATGGTGTGTGCCTGTAGTCCCAGCTACTTGTGAGACTGAGGCAGGAGGATTGCTTCAGTCCAGTAGTTCAAGGCTGCAGTGAGCTATTATTGCACCATTGCACTCCAGACTAGGTGACATAGTGAAATCTCATCTCTAAAAAACAAAAACAACAAAGCAAAACCAAAAAAATGAATAAAATGAACAGAGCCTCAGAGGCCTGTGGGATATGACCCAAGTGTACCAACATACACCAAATGAAGTTATCTCAGAGCAGAGTTTTTGGTGCACTACTGGAATTAGGTGGGTATTAATCCAAACTAGATTATTTTAAACTAAGATGTTCACTGTGATCCCTAGGCAACAACTAAGAAAATAACTCAAAAAACAGAGTAAAGAAATTTAAATAGCATACTAGACAATATCTATTTAACACAAAAGAAGGCAGTGATGAAGGGACAGAGGTATAAAAAAGACATAAGTCACACAGAAAGAGGCTAAAAGTTACAAAGTAAAATTAGTGGGAATCTAAGAACTCAGTTTATCTTGGTGTCAAAATCTGACTTTCTATCTCAAGCAAACTATACCAAAAATAATCATTACAATACCTTATTCAACCAAAAGCATATCAAAGCAATACTGACCAACCTAACACTGACGACACATTAAAGTTTTGGCCTCCTTAATTATGCTTCTGCTATATATGTGTGCACACAAGCTCCATGTGTGATAAGCAGTCACATCACCTCAGTCACTTTCCCTACAGGCATGGACACTTCGCATGGAATTCACAGCATCCGAAGTTAGATCACGTGGCATAAATAAGTGACAAAGCTGTCATTTTTCTGAATCTAAGTGTCACACTCTAATGCTGAGAGTGTCACGCTGTCTCAGTCTCCAGTGGTTTAGAACCTGAAGAATCAAGAGGGGCCTTGGAGATCAACTAGGTGTATCTCCTCATTGCAAGAAGGCACCCCACTGCATCCCTGGCCAATGGGGCCCAGGCAATCCTGCAATGCTTCCAGTGGAGAGCTGACCTCCCCCATCAGTCTGATCTAACAACAGGCAGTCTGAATGTTAGAAAGGGCTTCCTTCCACTGTCTAGAAAACTCATTCTACCTATGGCCCTGATTTTGCCCTTTTGAAGAAATCTATTTGCTCTTCCACCTGACAGTCCCTCAAATAGCTGAAGACAGCGATCATATTTCCCCTTAGTCATTTCTTCATTGCTCTAAATATTATCCATTTCCTTCCACTATTTTTCATATAGTTTCCATTCTGACACTCTCTCAATGCACCCTAAAACATTTGTACATCTAAAGTGTCCCTCTTCAAATGTGGTACTCAAGACTCAATAACACCTCAAATATGGGCTGTGCAGTCCCATGCACAGAAGGATCTTATCAGACACTGGTTTTCTGCTTTACTTGTAGCCATCAACATGGCTACTCAACTAATGGTCCACTAAAGCTCCTGCAGTCTGTTTAATTTATTAAATATTTAAGGGAAATGAAAAGGTATAAAGAATATTACAAACACCTGTGAACTCGCCACCCTGCAGACAAAAGAAAAGATTGCTAATCAGCTTAAAACTCCTGAGTATCTCTCACCGTTCACATTCTCTTCCTCGCAACAGTAACCCCAATTTGGTCCTCATGATTCTTCAGGGTTTTTTTTTTTAAACACAAACTGGAAGGAAAAAAAAAAAAAGCCCACCATCCTTCCACCACACTATTTTTTATACCTAAATTCTTAACTTTGTAAACTTTTGATCGATTTTAATCCCCACCTCAACGTCTGCCCCACCCCCCAGCATTTTAGCCTCCCCCAGATAATCTCTGAATCCCAATTCTGTCATCCATTGCATTAGCCACTTCTCCCATCCATAAGTCATCTGCAAAATATGGTCTGTGGGCCTTTGTGTCTTAATTATTTAAAAAAAAAAAAAGATAACCAGGATGGTGCTAAAGATAGGGCTCTAGCTCTGTGGCAAACCACTGGAGCCCACCCCCCAGGCTGACACGGATCCATTAAGCAGCCCACCCTGGGCATGGCCACAGCATCAGTTACAAATCCACTTAACCACACTGTCATCCCACACTTCTCCATCTTAGCCTTAAGGGCTCAGGAAAACAAGCTCTCATCTGATCACAAGTGGTCAGGCAATAAAGAACGGGATAACGACTCAGCAATGCTGGAGCTCCAGTTTGACTAGACAGAACACCATGGTTTTATTTTTGGCATGTCTGGTCCACAGCTGAGCCTACCCATGACACCCAGATGCTGTCTGTCTATCTGTCTGTGCCAGAGTGTCTGAGCACTGGGCAATCATGAAGCACAGATAGGGATAGACCAATGTCAGCTGTGAGTGAGCCAGGCCACAACCTGAGTAGTCCCAGAGCAGAGTATGTCCCCTAACCGAGCCCTGGAATTCAGGGTTAAATAAGGTGTAAGATAAAGGTAACATATAAAGACCTTTACAGGTTCTCAAAGGCAGAACGTGCTCAGGAAACACAGGGCAGCTTTACTCTGATCCTGGGCATACATATGCCTTTTTTGTAGAAACCATAACATTTTGTAAAAGTCATGAAATGTAACTACCGAACAAAAAAGACTCAAGAGTAATCAAGAGATCATATAAATGTAGCCATTCTTTAATTACATGGACCAAAAGCATATTCAGTAGAACAACACCTCCAGGTGTTAATAAGTTCCTTAGAAAAGGATTCCACGCTCAAATGAGCTTAGGAAACACTGCTTTAAACAAAACGAAGCAGAATTCCTCGCTGCAGAACTTGCGCTTTGAATAGCAGTGGCATGTGCTGCACATCTCTAAGAAGGGGATACACGTTGAGTATCCCTTATCCAAAATGCTTAAAACCAGGAGTATTTTGGATTTCAGACGTTTGCATTATTCTGACTGAGTCTCCCAAATCCCCAAATCCAAAATCCAAAATGCTCCAATGAGCACTGAAAAAGTTTCTAATTTTGGAGCATTTGGGATTTGGGATTTTTGGATTTGGGAAGTTCAACCTGTATAAGAAGCTGCATTTCCTAAACTCATTTGGTTCCTGACTTCTTTTTGCAACGAGTATCTCAAAAGCCCAGTGCTCTGCAGAAGTCACTTTAGAGAACACTGATTTGGGTTACCGGTCAATCAGTTAAGATATGTTTTGGGCACTAACCATGTACTGGGCACTCAGGCCCACAGTTCTCATCTACTTCCCACCCAACCTATGAAACCAAAACCTTTGGCATGTGACAGAGATCCCATGGATGCACCCAGACTGGGGCTACTTCTCCATGGCTGAGGAAGCTATAGGGAAATGCTGGGGTCCCTGCCGTTACACCCAGGTTAGATCACAAGACTGGCCCCAAATAGGGGAAGCAATCTTTTAAATTATGTGTTCAAAAATGAGCTACAAGCTTCGTTTTGTTGGATGGAGCCTCTGAATCATCCCCACTTTAGGAAAATCCAAAGGCAGTGCTCAATGATTACAAACTAGAAAATCTCAAACTAAACATTCTGTATGAGTTTTCATGAGGACTGTGCAAATCTCAACCACTTTAAAATGGAAACTTTTCAATGGGACTTTCAGGAAGTCTCAAATATGTCGGACCTTAAAGATGTTGGAAGCTGAAAGCAGCTTTTTCTAACAGTTTCAAGGAAAATGCCAAATCATTTTAAATAACACAATCTGAAATTTGTACAACAGGGTTACAGGATGAAAAACTGAGACCAAAAAATTGATGTTGTGGTGCATCATTCACATCACTAACCCCGGGTCACAGTGCTTATTCCGTAGAAAATAATATTCAAGCTAAAGTTTAAGTCCTGGATAACAAATAAAAAATCTCTTTGAGAGACTTAAAAAAGGCAGAGGTGAGAATTGCTTCCAAAAAGGGATCAGGATTGTATCCACAATTAGGTATTAAAAACAGAAATGTGTCAACAATTTCTTTAGCAAACTATAAAAGGAGGGTGCTTTTCTTTCTTCTTTTAAAGGAGAACAAAAATGACAGGTTTTAAAAATGACTTTTAATTCTGAAGGAAAAAAAATCAACAAGAAAAAGACCTAGTTAAACTTTCACAAGCAAATGTTAAAGGGTCCCACCAAGAGGAAATCTTGTTAATTGTTTTGATTCCTTAAGTTTTATGAAATCTAGCAAGTTTACAAGCCTGAATTTTCCAAAGGCCTAATGGTCTTTCTTTAATACACCAGAGTTGGAATGGCCTTGCTCAGTAAAGCCCCACCGAGTGAGCCTCAGCTGCAAGGACTTGCTAATAAAAGTGTCTCCAGCATTTTGCTTTATAGCACCACTGTGAATTGCAGCATTAAAAAAAAAAAAGCTGTTGGCTCAAAAATGAGCTTTATTAGCTCTGCCTGGATTAGGGTTACCAGTAAGGCTCACAGAGGGGAAGTCTCATTGTTCCCTTCACAGGTTCACACATCAAGTCTACTGTGGGAGGACACACCACATAGAGACAGCTCTCTATGCACTCACTGTCTCAGTTTCCTCTCTCTCCACTTGCTCCTGAGCCACTAGCTTTTGCCCCCAACACACCACTGACCCTGGTCAAGGTCACCAGTGACCTCCAACTTGCAAAACCCAATGGTCATTTCTCAGTCCTCCTCTTACTTGATGAACAACAGCGCTTAACACCTTTGATCACTTTCTCCTCCTGGAAAACATTTATCCCATGGTCCCAAGGAACGACACATCTGGGTTTTCTTCCTGCCTGGCAGGGAACTCCTTCCCGGTCCTCTGCCTGGCCCTGCTCATGTCCACGGCCTCTAATCCTTGTGGAGCACCAGGGCTCCATCCCTGAACCCCTCCTCTATTTACATTCACTTCCTTAATGTTCTCATTTGTCTCCTGGCCTTAAATACCATCAATGTGGCTGACAGCTTCCAAATTTCCATCTTCAGCCCAGAGCTCAACGAAGAGCTCATCCTCAACCTCACAACCAATGAGTGATCTTCCCCCATACCCACACATGCTCCTTCCATGGTCTGCTACTTGTCGGTAAACAGTGAACTCATTCCTCCAGTTGCTCAAGGCAAACACCATGGAGCCCTTGTTGACTCTCTTCCTTCTGTCCCCACATCCAGCCCATCCACAATCCTGACTCTGTCCACTTCTGCTGGTGCCATCCTGGCCCAAGCACCACATCCTCTTCTCTGGATTACTTCAGTGGCCTCCTAACTGGTCTCCTTGCTGCTGTCCTTGTCCCCCAACAACCGATTCTCCACACAGCAGCCCAAATGGTCCCTTTTTAAACGTAGGGCAGCCCTTGTCACCCCTCTGCTCAAAGCACTCCAAAGGCTTCCCATCTTATTCACAAAACTTCGAGTTCTTTTAATGGATTAAACGCTTATCACATCCTGAGTCCTCTCCTCCTCTTATCCTTCTGCTCACCACATCCCCGTATCAGTCTCCTATGGCTGCGCTAACAAACTACTACAAACTTAGCTGCTTAAAACAATACAGATTTATTCGCTTATAGTTCCGGAGACCAGAAGTGTAAAAGCAAGGTGTGGGCAGGGCTGCATTCCTTCCGGAGGCTTCAGAAAGAAAACAGTTTTCTTACCTTTTCCAGCTTCAAGCTACCTACATTCCTTGGTTTGTGGCCCCTTCCTCCACCTTCAAGGCCAGCAACACAGCATCTTCTCTCCTCCCTGACGTCCTGCCTCCCTCTTACAAGACTTGTAATGCACTGGACCCACCTGTATAATCCAAGATAATCACCCCATCTCTAGATCCTTAACCTAATCACATCGGCAAAGGGCGTTTTATCATGAAAGGTAACATACTGGTGGGATTCAGGGATTAGGACGTCAGCATATTTGGGAGGGCCATTATTCAGCGTACGACAACCACCCACTTGGACCTTCCTGCTGTTCTTCAAACACAACAGGCGCACCCTGCCTCAGATGAGCTTCAGCTGTGTCTGCCTCAAGTCCTTCGTCCTTGCTATTCCACTCTGCCAGAGATCTGCACAGTGTCCTTCACCCCTCCTTCAGGTCTTTGCTCAAAGCTCACCTTCTCTGCAAAGTCTTCCCTGGCCACTCAAAAGTGCAACCCCCATATCACCTCTACTGTCTTGTTCTTCTCCATAGCACTCACTGCCATCTGATAACTCTATTTAATCATGTCTTTATTGTATATACAATGGAAGCTCTCTGAGAAGCTGGTTTTTTATGTTTTATTCTCAGCTGTCTTCACTATATAGAACAGTACCTCGCACATACATAGTCAGCTCTATATAAATAACCAAATGAGATAAAAGTGTAAGTCCAACTTTTTTTTAAAAATTAGCATTGCTTTTAATTCTCAAAGGTCATAGACACAGCTCAGCTCCTGGCATGTGCTGCCCTCCGTAGGCTCCTTCTTATTCACATGTATTATTTTGCTTTATGCTTTTTTTTCTAGTAAACTTTTTAATTGTGGAAAAGTTCAAACACACAAGAGTAAAGTGAACAATATAAAGAACTCCAAAGTACCCACCACTTAGCTCAATGTTCATTTGCCATTCTTGTTTCATCTAGCTCCCAATCTGTTTTTTAGAGTGATTTTGCCTTTCCCTAAATTTGTGCTTAAAGGAGGCAGCCAAAACAATCACATGAATTAAAAGGAACTCCTGAGGGCACTTGGGTCTTGAGCATACAAGGAACCTTCCACAGAACTTCCTGATAAGAGAAGTCTGGCGGCAAGGGTGAAAGTGAAGAACTAAGGGAACCCTGCCAGCAACTACAGGTCTGCAGAATCACTTTTGCCAGGAAAATCAATTCAGCCTCACTTGGCTATGGATTCCTGACTCACACAGACTTCATTAAGATTATAGATCTTTAGCTATAAGCACCTGGATTTTAGTTTCTCCTACATGGACATAAAATCACATTTTCCTTGAAACTTGAAATACCATAATCTAATATGCTGGTCTTTGGTTCTAGAATTACTTATTTATTTTGCTGTCAACTACTTCTTGCTCACCAATATTATCATAAATTTCAAGTTTTTAACCTCTGCATCTTCCCTCTTTTTCTTTATTACTTTGTTTATGCACGTTTTTCTATCTTTTACTTGATAAACATGACATCATTACTTATGCAGCTAAATTCCTAAAATTACATATTAGGAAATACAAAGCACTAAAATATACATTAAAAAACTGAAAACAAAATTATGGAGTTGGAGAACAGATCAGTGGTTGCCAGGGGTTAGAGATGGAGCTGGGGGTGAAAGGGTCGGGGAAGGACTTGAGGCCAGTGTGGCCGTCAAAGACTGTGAAAGAGTAGCACAAGAGATTCTCGTGATGAATGTTCTACATGTTGACTGCGGTGGTGGTCACACAAATCTACATCCATGTAAAGTTCCATAGATTCACAAATAAGTGCATGTAAAACTAGTGACATCAACAAGATTTGTGAATTGTGCCAATGTCAGGTCCTGGTTTGCTACTGTTCTGTAGTTATGCGGGATATTACCAATGGAGGAAACTGGGGGAAGGGTACACAGGAACTCTCTGTACTATTTTTTGCAACTTCCTATGAATTTATAATAATTTTTAAAGTTTAAAAAATGAATATTGGTAAATACCTAAAAGCCATCACTCCTCAGAATTATTCACACTGTAATATAATGGCAGACTTACTTTTCTCCTAAAAACCAATTTGTAATTTTGAAACCAACAACTGTATCATTGTTATCGACTAAAAAATTGTCTCCTTTAAATACCAGGAATCCTGTGGGCACAAAAAAAGATGAACATAAAATTATAAATAGCAAGATTACAAACCTGTTCAATGAACTGTCCAACAAGTAACTTTGCTTACTAAAAGCTACACTGTTTTCAAGATGTTTCGGCAAGAAACACTCCCACAGAGAGATTAAGTCCCTCGAGGGACAACTATTGAAAGGAAGGAGCTGGAGACCTCAGCATCAAAAGTACACACAGATCACAAACTAATGTAGCAGGACTTCAGTTTTCAAAACATAAAGCCTCAAAAGCAAAAAAAAGAGGAGGGGATATGGAAAGGAGGCAAAGTCAAAGCAAAATCAGTCTCCGGCATGGTTTGTGGGATAATTAAATCTCAAAGGCCTCCCAGTAACAGAGTTTCTTACTGTTAGTCAGTTACCAATTTGGCATAAAGATCTAAGCAAACAGGTTTTCTCCAAGGGCATACATTTAGTTCATGGTGCCAATTCCACATAACTGGCCCAATTTCACTAAAATCCCAAGGCACCTAGATTAAAAGAGAGATGGAGAGAGAGAAAAAAAGCAAGCCCCTCTAAAATAAAATCATAAAGCAGCAGGACATTCCACAGAAGGATTTCCTCCCTGTTTCAAAATAAAAACACCCCAAGAAACAAATGAAAGTGCTACTTATTTTTATTACTTTGTGGTTTTAATTTTAATGATTGATGAAACAAAGCCAATTCTACAAACTACTGGCCATCTATTGTCATTCTCATGTAAGAGCTCCATAAAACTCCTGACTTCACAGATCACAGCTAACTTAGTCACTGTACGCTAACGGGGTTCTGTTTAAGAATATTTTCTATTCTTATATATGTGCTCTAACAACTGGGTTAACAACAACAACAAAAAGCCAAATCCAACTGGCCATAGAGGGAAGAATTCTGGTGGACAATTGGACTACTGTGTTGCAAATTAAACTGTTCACACCTGCAGAATAATATCACCAGCATAACCAATCTACCCTGTAATGCAGCCCCATTGTACCAAAAGGGGATCTCTTCTTCCACTAGATTCTATCTTTCTCTGATAAACTCTTTGGATGAGAAAACCAGCAGCAGATGTGAAAGCCACATGGCTCTCTACAAAGCAGGGGAGCAAAAAGCAATGTTAAAAGAAATGATTTCTTAAACAGCAGCTCGCTATCAAGAATGAAGATTTTATCATCTAATGCTGACTTTGTGTAAAGCAGCTAGCTATTAGACCCTGTTCCAAGACTTCGGCTAACAGCATCAGGCTGAAATCCAGGAATTGGCCTCATTTAGCTACACTCTTGTTTTCAACTCTTGGGAGCAGGCCAATGTGTAAAGTTAGAATATAACAAATCAAATTTCCAAGGGGAAAGAAAACAATATAGGTACTCATGCTTAATGCAACTCATAGGCTCTGAGCACAGTTTACACTTCAGCACATTTTTTTTAAGTGAATTTTAGCCTTTAAATAATTTCCATCATTTCCTAAAGACACACACTCCGCATCAAAAAATATCTGCCAATGCCCCCACTTAAGCAATACTAACAACAATAATCAAGAATATTGAAAATTCTTTCAAATTCATATTCAAGTAGAAAAACGATTAAGCAAAATGCTTCACAAAGAAAGATTAGAACGGCTGGGCACAGTGGCTCACGCCTGTAATCCCAGCACTTTGGGAGGCCGAGGCAGGTGGATCACGAGGTCAAGAGATGGAGACCATCCTGGCCAACATGGTGAAACCCCGTCTCTACTAAAAATACAAAAATTAGCTGGGCATGGTGGCGCACCTGTAGTCCCAGCTACTTGGGAGGCTGAGGCAGGAGAATAGCTTGAACCTGGGAGGCAGAGGTTGCAGTGAGCCGAGATCGCGCCACTGCACTCCAGCCTGGTGACAGCGAGACTCCGTCAAAGAAAAAGAAAGAGTAGAACACCATAAACTGTCTAAATGGTCCTGTATCATGTGTGATTTCACTGAACTGCCATGGAGGTAGCAAGCTCCAGAGTCTAAATTTGGGTACAGTTTTCACCACTCTCAAACCGCCTTCATATGCTGAACTTCATAGTCTTGCTGGTGCTTTGAATTTTATGTTCAGTTTTCCTACCAGTGAATTTTGCAAACCCTTGCTCTTGAAGCTGTAAACACCTGTGTAAAATGCAGTATAGAATCCAGGGATGAAAATGCTAACCATTAAACAAACTAATTTTTTGGCAGTTATGGAGAATGGATACTCCAGTGTCTCCTAGAGAATACAGTTGTCCATCAAAGGCCAAATGGTTAGCAATCATACACCCATTTAACTTACGAAAAATCAACAGAAATCTATAAATGTAATACAATGCATTAACAGAATGAAGGAGAAAAACGATGTGATCACCTCAGGTGCAGAAAAAGCATCTGACAAAATTCAAGATCCTTTCATGATAAAAACTCTTAATAAATGAGGTATAGAAGAAATGTACTTTAACACAATAAAGGCCACATGTGACAAAACCAAAGCTAAAGTCATACTTAGTAAAAAGTTGAAAGCTTTTCTTCAGGAATAAGACAAGGATGCACACTCTCACCATTTCCATTCAACATAGTACTAGAAGTCTTAGTCACAGCAATTAGGCAACAGAAAGAAATAAAAGGCATCCAAGCAGAAAGGAGGAAGTTAATCTGTTCCTGTTTACAGACAATATAAACATAAACATAGGAAACCCTAAATACTCCACCAAGAAACTAATAAACAAATTCAGTTATGGGTACAAAATCAATATACAAAAATCAGTAGAGTTTCTATATACTAACAACAAGCTATCTGTAAAAGAAATCAAGAAAATAACCCCATTCACAATAGCCACACCAAAAATAAATACTTAGGAACAAATTCAACCAAGGAAGCTAAAGACCAGTATGCTGAAAACTATAAAACACTAAGGAGAAAACGGATGATACAAATAAATAGAAAGATATTCCATGTTCATGGATTGGAAGAATATTATCAAAATGTCCATACTACTCAAAGTGAGTGAAATGCAATCTCTATAAAAATTCCAAAGACATTTTCACAGATACAGGAAAAAAAAAAGATAAAATTTGCATAAAAACACAAAACACTGCAAATAGCCAAAGCAATCCTGAGCAAAAAGAACAATGCTGGAGGCATCACAATACCTCATTTCAAAATATACTACAAAGCTATAGCAATGTACACAGCATGTCACTGGCATAAAAACAGATATATAGACCAGTAAAACAGAACTGAGAGCCCAGAAATAAGCCTGTGCATTTACAGTCAACTGATTTTCAATGAAGGTGCTAACAACACACAATGGGGAAAAAAGTCTCCAATAAATGGTGTTGTGAGAACTGGATATCCACATACAGAAGAATGAAATTAGATCCCATCTCACACTATTATAAAGAAGTGAACTCTTACTTGAAGCCAGGAGTTCGAGACTAGCCTGGGTAACAAAGCAAGACCCTGTCCTTACAAAAAATTTAAAAGTTAGCTGGGCATGTTGGCGTGAGCCTATAGTCCCAGCTACTCGGGAGGTTGAGGTGGGAGAATCACGTGAGCCCAAAAGTTTGAGGCTACAGTGAGCTACGATTGTACCACTGCATGCCAGCCTGGGCAACAGAGTGAGGCTCTGTCTCAATAAAAAAAATAAAAATAAGTTCAAAACGGATTAAAATCTTAAACATAAGACTTGAAACTGTAAAACTATGGGAAAGAAACTTAGGGGAAAAACTCCATGACACTGGTATAGGTAATGATTTTTTGGATATGACCCCAAAAGAACAGGCAACAAAAACAGACAAATGGGATTACATCAAACTAAAAAGCTTTTGTACAGCAAAGGAAACAATCAACAGAATACAGAGACAACCTATAAAAGAGAAAAAATATTTCCAAACCATATATCTCATAAGCAGTTAATATCCAAAATATTACATAAGGAACTCAAACAACTCAATAGCAAGAAGACAAAAAACCCAATTTAAAAATGAGCAAAGGACCTGAATAGACATTTCTCAAAAGAAGACATACAAATGGCCAATAGGTATATTTAAAAATGCTCAACAATACTAATCATCAGAGAAATGCAAATTAAACTACACCTGTTAGAATGGCTATTACCAAAAAGACAAAACAAGTGCTGGCAAAGACATGGAGAGAAGGGAACCCTTGCACACTGTTAGTGGGAATGGAAATTAGCACAGCCATTAAGGAAACAGGTTCCTTAGAATATTAAAAATATAACTACCATATGATTCAGCAATTCTGGTTGCTGGGTATACATCCAAAGGAAGTGAAATCAGTTTGTCAAAGTGATCTCTGTACTGCCAGGCTCATTGCAACATTATTCACAACAGCCAAGATACAGAATCAACAGATAAATGATACATAATGTGGCATGTATACACAATGGAATACTATTCAGCCTTTAGAAAAAAAAAGAAGGAAATCATGTCATTTACAACAACATGGTGGATGAACCTAGAGGGCATTATGTTAAGTGAAATAAGCCAGCCACAGAAAGACAAATATTGCATGATCTCACTTAAATGTAGAATCTAAAAAAGTTGAGCTCATAGAAGTAGAGAGTAGAATGGCGGTTACCAGTGGCTGGCGGGGCAGGATGGGACACTGGAAAGATGTCAAAGGATACAAAATTTCAGTTAGATGAGAGAAATAAGTTCAGAGCTCTACTGTACAACACAGTGACTTCAGTTAATGATGTATACTTGAAAATCACTAAGAGATAGATTTTAAGTGTTCTCACCACAGAAAATAAGTATGTGAGGTAATACATGTTAGTTACCTCAACTGAGCCATTCCACAATGCATAGATATTTCAAAAATCATGTTATACCTGATACATATATATAACTTTATTTGTCCATTTAAAAAAATAAAATGAAATTTTTAAAAAAAGAAAAATCAGTCCAGGCCCAGTGGCTCATGCCTGTAATCCCAGCACTTTGGGAGGCTGAGGTGGGTGGATTACTTGAGGTCAGGAGTTCAAGACCAGCCTGGCCAACATGACAAAATCGTGTCTCTACTAAAAATACAAAAATTAGCTGCATGTGGTGGCATGAGCCTGTAATCCCAGCTATGCGGGTGGCTGAGGCAAGAGAATAGCTTGAACCCAGGAGGCAGAGGTTGCAGGAAGCCGAGATCGCGCCACTGCACTCCAGCCTCGGTGACAGAGCAAGACTCTGTCTCAAAAAAAGAAAAGAAAAATCAATCACACACTCTTGGCCAAAAAGACGAGAACAAGAGAACGATGTTAATGGCATAAACCTTTGCCTCTCTCAAAGTGTGGCCAAAGCCACACTGGCATCCCCTGCTTAGAAAGCAGACCATCAATGGGGCCGGGCGCGGTGGCTCATGCCTGTAATCCCAGCACTTTGAGAGGCCAAGGCGGGCAGATCACCTGAGATCAGGAGTTTGAGACCAGGCTGGCCAGTGAAATCCCATCTCTACTAAAAATACAAAAATTAGCTGGGCATGGCAGCACATGCCCGCAGTCCCAGCTACTCGGGAGGCTGAGGCAGGAGAACTGCTTGGGCCTGGGAGGCAGAGGTTGCAGTGAGCCAAGATCGTCCCACTGCACTCCAGCCTGGGCGACAGAGCAAAACTCCATCTCAAAAAAAAAGAAAGTTGACTGTCAGGCCCCACCGCAGACTTCCTGAATCTGAATCTGCATTTTATCAAGATTCCCCCATGATTCCTAAACACAATGCAGTTTGGCCTAAATGATATCTCCCACCATTCCACTCCACAGGCATATGCCCCAGAGTAAGTGTGAGACGGGTGACATTGATCTGTAATTCCCTTGGTGGGTCTCAGTTCTCACCTGCCTTGCACCTCACTGAGTGAGATCCTAAAGTTTAAAGGGTAATTTGGACTATACACCTAAAACATGACTTCACCTAAAACATGTTCTGTCCTCGTGCTGACCCCCTCAGCTACCAACCTAATAACAGGCTCGATTTAACCAAGGGCTCACATCTTTGCATTAAAAACTGTGAGTGCATTAACAGCACAGACAAGCTCAATAAAGGCTTAGCACCAAGTTGTCGGCCACCAGCACACTGCCACAGGTCAGCCATAACTCAGACTGCAGGGAGAAAAGAGCTCTTGGGTCACAGAAAGATACACACCGAGTAGTGATGTGGAACATAATCCTCTAAGGTCAAGGTGGCTTTCCTTCAAGTAAACTTGCCATCCAATTCATTAATTCTGCAAAGTTTATAATTCTGTGAGTAAATTTCTATTACCCCGGAGAGTCCTATACCTTAATCACACATTTAGGAAAATCTGGAACATCTGTTGGTGACACCTTACCTGTGCACATCTTCCTAGTTCTTTCCTGTCCAGATACTGAAATATATTGATTGCCAATTCGTAAGGCAGTTGGATATCAAAGAAAGGCACATCATTCATTTCATTCTGAGGGGAAAAAAAAAAGAAAGAAGTTTATAATTTTTAGATATGAAAATAACTCAAATTTACAGGCCCTTTAAATGACCAGAGATATTCTTAGGTGGTAACAAGATAGATGAGGCTGTTTCCCAGGAGGGAGGCATCCATACTGTTTCACCAGGCAGTCATGGAACTATTTCAGAATCTGCCAGCCATCCTCCATTCTCTGACCCCCACACGCCTTCACTCCTTATATTCACTTAGGAAACCCATATGACCATTTCCCATGGTGCTTCACAAAGCAGCAGGGGTGCTATCTTCCAGCCTGGTATACGGCACAGGAATCACCGTCAAGGTCTGTGGAAAGCCTCCTGACCTCTAAGGAAAGGTGAGCAGCAGGCGGCCAAGAAAGTGAGGCTTGAAATCAGGGAGGCCACCCCTCTTCCCAGGACAACCACCACTACTCTCAACTAGGAAGGGAGTGAGCACACACAGCTAGAGAAAAGCTGCTCTAGGTCACTAAGGGGTTTTCACTGGGAAAAGAACAGGGCTATAAACATGAGCAAAAAGTAAACAAGTAGACACTGCTCTTGATGGAGATGAACGCCACCTCTCCTTGGCCACTGGAGAAGTGCAAGGTTTCCTAATGCTCTCAGGGGCTTACACTGGTTAACCTGAGCGGGCCAGTGCAAACAAAGCAGTTCTTCTTCGGTGTCATTTATTAATGCAGAGAAATCAGAGCTCGCCTGCCTTTGGATAAGCAATTAGAGATGAGGTAACGGGCTTTATTTGAGAGATAAGGCTGTCATTGACGATCCTGGTAGCACAAAGAAATATGAGTGTGAAACAGAAAAAAAGCCAAGTGTATGTATGTATGTACCCCTCTGCCTGTTCCCAATCCACCTGCCAAAGCTCACTTTGGTATGTGCTTCTGCAAAGCTAGGAAAAGCTTCACTCTGTGTCCCAACAGCACTCGCTTAATAAAATCCATTTTTAATAAGCTTTGGCTGACATCAGTGACTTACTGCTTACAAGCGAATTGTTAATTCACCACTCAAATACAGCGGTCTTATGTATTGCAAGGCTGCTGTCTCAAAACAAAAAAAAAATCACCTCAATGTTTTTAAGGGAGTCCAAGCACTGATTTAGACCCTACCAAGACTCACAGTAAAGATTTTTCTGGAATGAAGTTTCTGTTCATCTAGAAGTCTCGGGGCTAAAAGACAGCCCAGAGCATAAAAAGGAAATGTGGTATTTAACTGCAAAAACAGTGCAAAGGATGAAGGCCAAAAGGGATCTCTGGAGGAAAAAAAGAGTAAGAGCTGACAGCTCTCTGTGGGCAAAGAGAAGGAACAGAATGTTAAATCAAGAGAGAAATTTTGACCATACAGAAAAAAACAGGAAAAAAAATCTGCAATTGTAATTAGAAGGCTCAGGGGTGCTTGCCTAAAAAAATAATGGAAAGTCATTGGTTTAATGTCAGGCTCCATCCCCTCCCACAACTAATTGGCTTCACTCATCAAGAAAAAGAGGCATCACTTTCTCTCTCGGCCCAGATACAACTTGAGACTCCTGCAATCAACACTGGAGGGAGTCACTGCTTGCCAAGGAAAGCCACACTCACGAAGAAACTTTCATTTGCAATCGTGGTCTTCCTCCTGCTTTCTTTTTTGGATTATTTTGACATTGTGGAGAGGCCTACTTTACCTACTTGGTAAAGAAACAAGAGAAAAATGTTCCTTATCCTCCTACAACCAGAACAAAGGCAAGGAAAAGCCCGCATTCATTGAAACTGAAGTCTCATCTAGCCTTTCACTGTTAGAGACTTGCAGGCATTGCTTTCTTCAATTGGTTCCACTTAAGACTCACTAGGAACTGGTGTCTGGACTTGATGCTATTCTGATGAGGCAAAGGACATCATCATCTTTGTTTTTAGCTGTTCTAGTGCAGAAAAGTCTTACCTCTAGTAACAGGAGCCTTCTGTCTTTTGCCTACTCAGCTGGCCTGGCCTCCATCCTCATCATGGAAGACAATGCCCGTATCTTGGCATCACCCTAGCCCTGCCACCAGTATCCTTGATCCCAACCACCATAATCCCTGGGATGCAACCCAGCATGGAGGTTCAGAGCAAAGATTCAAACTGATACACCTGTTCAGTCACCTTACCAACAAGCCACCAGGCTAAGTGCATCTGTGCTTTCTCATCTGTAAAAGAGATATAACCACTCTATGAAATAGGTATGCTATTAAGAATAAAAATGAGACCTCATGCTGGTCTCACTGTTAATGCATGCATTATGATGGTTCTTGATCATTTACAAGTTCTGAAGGGCAACCACTGTTTCAAAGCATTGAATTGTAATTTTGTAAACGACATTACACAGCCAAACTTTTTTTAAAAAAAAGTCACTGTGCTCTCAGAATTATGATCTAAACTCCAAAAGAGATCAAGTCCCAGACTTTCATGTAGATGACCTTCCATGTTGGTAACCACTGGAAAATGGCAGGGAAAAAAAAGAAACCAATACACTAACGGAAGGTCCATATCTTAAGAAATATGTAGACTCCTCCAAGGTGAGGAGACCAAATGCTCAAGTTTCATGCCGCACACTTAGAGTAATTCTGGCAACATATTCTATCAATGGTCCTTGCCATAGATACTGCAGTGGGTCACTCAGATCCCGCTTCCGGTCCCACTCATTCCCCTAGATGAAAATGCTGCCTGCTGTTGACTCACAGCTGAGTCCCTTCCTAGGCAATGCCTTTGGCCAAACAAGCTGACTCACCCAGGTTGCATCCCCTCCCACCCCACTAAGGCAGCCTGTATCCAATGACTAGTCCATGGCTGGGTACAAAGGCCTGGCCCCCTTGCTCAGTTCAGGACCTCTCTGAAAGGAAAACCCACTAAACCACCTACATGCAAATCTCCATTTCAGAATCTATTTTTTGAAAAGTTCAATCTTTTTTTTTTTTAACCAAAGTGATAGACATGACCCACGATAGTCCTGTGTTCAATATATTCCCAAGGTTTCTTAAGCACACCTCCAGAGACATTAGTCTAGGTAAGCTACTTCCTCTCCCCTACTTGAGGAGGATACTAGAATGCAGGTAAATGAGTGACATCACTCCACCAGACAAACCAGAGTAAATTCAAGGTTTAGTAACTAATTCATCAACTTCAGTTTGTTATTATTGGAAATATCATTTGAGAAACACCTTACAAGAGGCAGAGTTGTGAGCATATTTGGCCCTGTGGTTGAAAACACACCTCTTTTATTAGTGTGCATGATCTGACAAGGATATGAAGCCACATCCTGGACAAAAGCTGTGGTCTAGTAACCACATAAATCCTACTACTGTCGGGCAGCAGAATGTCTTAGGCACTCTGATTGGGTACTTCCCACAGTTCATAAATGTAGGTTAAAAACACTACTTGCTACTAGTGTGCAGAGAAATACCTTGTTATCTAAAACACACTATCAGACAGAGGTTGGTTAATGGATATAAAAGTGCAGCTAGACAGGAGGAATGAGTTCTGGTTCTCTGTGGCACTACAGGTTGACTATAATTCACAACAATTTATTGTATATTTTCAAATAGCTAGAAGAACAGATTTTGAATGTTTACAACACAAATAATAAACGTTTTAGGTGATGGATACATTAATTACCCTGATTTGGTCAATATACATTGTATACATATATGACACCGTGCCCCATAAATATGTACAATTATAATGTGTCCATTAAAAATAAATAAATAAAGATGCTATCAGTGTTCCACCTAGACTACTGCGAAGCACATAGCCATCCAAAAAGTTATGGGCCACGTTAACCCAACTCTACACTGACTTAAAAACATGAAAATGGACAACACTGACTTAAAAACATGAAAATGGACAACCTGTCATTTCAGAAACAAAGATATTCCAAGAAGAAGGAAAAGGAATTAAAGACATTAGAAATATTAAAATAGAGAAATCTGGTCAAACTATAAAAATATCAACATGGCTACAATATTTAGAGAAAGTAATTTTGGGCCGGGTGCAGTGGCTCACGCCTGTAATCCCAGCACTTTGGGAGGCCGAGGCAGGCGGATCACGAGGTCAGGAGATGGAGATCATCCTGGCTAACATGGTGAAACCCCGTCTCTAATAAAAAAATTAGCCGGGCCTGGTGGCAGGCGCCTGTAGTCCCAGTTACTCAGGAGGCTTAAGTAGAAGAACGGCGTGAACTTGGGAGGCGGAGCTTGCAGTGAGCCGAGATCGCGCCACTGCACTCCAGCCCGGGCGACAGAGCAAGACTCCGTCTCAAAATAAATAAATAAATAAATTAATTAATTAATTAAAAATACAAAAAATTAGCCGGGTGTGGTGGCAGGCGCCTGTAGTCCCAGCTACTCGAGAGGCTGAGCCAGGAGAATGGCGTGAACCCGGCAGGCAGAGCTTACAGTGAGCCGAGATCGCGCCACTGCACTCCAGCCTGGGTGACAGAGCGAGCGAGACTCTGTCTCAAAACAAAAAAAAAAAGAAAATAATTTTGCAGTAGTTGAATAGCTCTCAGCAATGTGAGACTGGCCAAATTTATTCTATAGGAAACCAATAAATTCAAAATATTAGTATTCCTTCAATGTTAAGGAAAAGTATCTGTTTGATAACATACAACCTTGCTTTTAATTCTTTGACAATGTCTCAGATATCGATTCTCTACCACTATTGGGGACTTTCGTCCTGTATTACACATTAAAATCACCTGTGGAATTTAAAAAAAAAAATGCCAAGGGCCCTACCAAGACCTACTGCCCTGAATTTCCAGGGTTAGGGCTCAAGCACCTCCTTTTCTTTTGAGACAGAGTCTCGCTCTGTCGCCCAGTCTGGAGTGCAGTGGCACGATCCTGGCTCAATGAAACCTCTGCCTCCCAGGTTCAAGCGATTCTCATGCCTCAGCCTCCCAAGTAGCTGAGATTACAGGCACACATCACCACATCTAGCTAATTTTTGTATTTTTTAGTAGAGACAGGGTTTTGTCATGTTGGCCAGGCTAGTCTCGAACTCTCGGCCTCCACCTGCCTTGGCCTCTCAGAGTGCTGGGATTACAGGCATGAGCCACTGCACCCGGCCTCAAGCACCTCTTTCTCAGGCGATCCTCATGCACACTAAAAGTTGAGAACACAACCATACATCATAGGCAGATATAAAAATCTATCCATCCCCTTTTTCCTAGTCAAGGGAAAAAAAACACACACACACACACTCAAAGGGGTCATATTACTTATTTAATTTAAAGTCAGTGAATACTAGATTTTCCCAAAGTCTACTGGACTTACTCCAAAAACACTGAGAGAAATTGCAAAGAGATCCATCCCCAGGGAGGCTGATTTGTATTCCTATGTGCTAATGTAAGACTAATTCTGTAAATGGATTGGTTTTGTGCCTTACTGTTAGAAATTTAATCTGTCTTCTCTTGTTTAATAGAAGAACAGATAATTACTAAGAGCCAAAGCAGTAAAAAGTGAAGAAACTGACTTAAGGTTTTTGTTCCCAATGTACATCTCCAGGGCAAAGAGGACATGAAAGATCTCTCTGGGTGGTGGTTTAAGAAACTGAGAAAAGCACCTTGAGTTCAAAGAAGAGATTTGCAATAACATTTTTACTAAATCTATGACTGAAACTAGTTTCTTTAGGCGTTTATCTCAACTTTCCATGTACTGCAAAAGCTGAGTGGAGTAGACCCACACAATCTCAATCAGAAGAAATAGATGAGTTTCAGTTTCACCTGTGTCTTCTTTGAGAAGAAAAAAACTGGTTGGCTGGGGGAAAAAGGTCTGAAAGGCAGTCGAGATAAATAAGCATCCATTTATAATCCACAATTTGTCTCGAAATATATATTCTTATATACAAAAAGAAAAAAAGTCAGAAATAGGCCAGGCACAGTGGCTCATATCTGTAATCCCAACACTTTGGGTGATTGAGATAGACAGATCATTAGGGGCCAGGAGTTCAAGACCAGCCCAGGTAACATAGTGAGACACTGTCTCTAGACAAAATAAAAATAAATGAGCCAGGTGTGGTGGCATGCACCTGTAGTTCCAGCTACTTAGGAGGCTGAGGTGGGAGGATAGCTTGAGTATGGGAGGTCAAGGCTACAGAGCCATGATCACACCACTGCACTCCAGCCTAGGCAAAAGCGAGAGAGAGCCTGTCTAAAAAAAAAAAAAAAAAAAAAAAAGTCAGAAATACACCAAAATGTTAACAATGGTAGCCTCTAAGCAATTATATTACTAAAGACTTTTATTTTCTTCTATTCTTCTGAATTTCCTAAATATTTCTACAGTGAGCACATGATATTTTCACAGACACAGAAAAGCAACACATTTTTAAAGTAAGGTAACTTATGTTCAAAATACTATCTAAATTCAGGGCCACACCAGGTGCTAGGGGGAGGGAGGTGCTGTTAGCAAGTATATAAGAAATGGTCTACACTCAAAGAGCTAAAATCTTTTATAGAGGTAAGTCATTGTCACGTAAAATGAAATACAGGAGACTACAACAGGCAATATAGATCGTCCCCTAAGGTACTCCAAAGTTCATTAGTAAGCCAGCCATATAGAAGCTGGAAAACATTTCTCCAAACAAACAATGCTACAAAGAGCGGCTAAGCTCCCAAGCAGTCCACAAAAAAACAATTCGTCTCTTAACATTTAACCTAATCCCCATGCCTAGCTATGAGGAAGAGCAAAAGGTATTCAATAAATGTTTGTTGATCACATGTGCGGGTGATATAAGTGAACTATAATACTATAGAATCTAACCAGCTCAGTGCATTGCACACAGTAGATGCACAATAAATGTCCATGGAATTTGATTTATCCTTTTTTTACGAGAATAGGCTTTCCAGCTTCAAGACATATTCTCACTCTCCTGGGGACTCTGGCAAGGAAAGAAGGTAGAAGATGCCAATCTAAAGAAATGCAAGTGCTGGGGGAAATCCCAGGAGGCTGGGTGTGGTGGTGAAGGAGGGTGGTGTGAAGCAAAATGGGCTGGGCCTCTGCTTTGAGCCCCCTTTTAGTCTAAACTGGGATCTGAGCTTTAGGACATGGCGAGGAGAGAAGACAGGAAGAGGAGAAGCTTCAGGTCCCAGAGGGGTACCACAGTGGGTGTGGTTTTTGAAACCACAGTGGGTTTGTGAAAAGAGTAAAGATGTTCACATTAAGGGTCCCAAACACTGCAGGCACATTCCCACCATCAGGATTGGCTATAGAATTTGGGGGGCCTGTTGGTCACAAATGATTAAGATCATTACAAATGATCAAGGCAACAGAGCATTAAACTAAGTGCGGGTCCTGGTCACCACAGAACCTTTGCACTTGCCCGTCTTGGCCTAGAATCCCCTCCCCCAGATCTCTGTATGTTCACTCCTCACCTCCTTTAGGTTCTCCATGAAATGTGACCTTCCCAGAAAGACCCTGTTGGACAGCACTATTTAAAATTACAGCCCCTCCCCTGGCAGATACACTCTATCCTGTCTGCTTATTTCTTCTCCAGAACATTTATTTATTACCTGACAATTATTTGTCCATTGTCTAACTCCCTCTTCCCCAGAATGTAAGTTACACAAGGGCACAGGCTTTTTTCTGCCTTGTTCAATGCTATATTCTCAGTGCCTGGAACAGTGGCTGGTACCAAGAAGACACTTAATAAATATTTGTGGGATATGAATGAAACCCAAGCTGCTTCAAGCAGCAGACCGTTCCAACAAAGACCGCATGTAAGTCACAAGTTGTTCTAGTATACACAGGCATCATTTCAAAAGGTTCGTAAGTGGAGGCCTGCTAATTCACGAATAACATGAAAAAATGAACAGCACTGAGGATAAGAACTTTTTAGTTGGGGGAAAGGGAGAAATTTGGGCTGGAGAAATCACGGAAGAATTAACACAGGAGACAGAACTCAAGCTGAGCTTTAAAAGGCAGGCAAAGAACAGGAAAGAGGAAAGGAAGTTATTCCAGTTAAGTCAATTCATGAGTACACATTTGGTTTGGTTTGCTGTCTCACTGCATATTAGCCAGAAGAAAAGTGTTCACATTAGGGAGCTTACTTATTTGTGTTTAACTTAAAAACAGAAGAAGGTTAAGCCATTAAATCTATCTTGTTGGCAACACAGATGCAGGATCTGACAGGTTAAATATTGACATGGTGAGTGATAAATATTGGCCAGCAGTATTAAAACTTTCAGCAGACCTAAAACTCCATATCTTAACCTGGAAGGATGCTTTGAATGTTCAAGGGTTCTAACAATCATAGAGCCTTTATAAAGTCGCAGTCAGAAGCAGCAATTTTGCCCACATTATTTCAACTCAACAAACATAGATAGGGCCCCTACTGTACTAGTAAGGCAGGTGGAGTTAGAACAGTAAGGCAACAGATCCTGCCCTCCAGGGATTCACAAGAGGCGGAAGCTAAGGGCTTATCGGTGATAAGCTTCAGTAAAGAGGAAGTAAAATAGCATAGCAAACTCTGAGTACTAACGATAATGGCACCAGCTTACATTTATTGGGCCCTTACTGTACTCCAGGCTCAGTGCTAAGTTCCATGCCTATTTCATTGCCTCTTCACGAGATAGGTACTAACATCATCATCATTTGACAGCTAAGGCAGGGGAAATTAACTTGCCCAAGGCAAACTGGTAACAGCAGAGCCAGAATCTGAACTCAGGTCTGCTTGACTGCAGAGCCCAGCCCCATAGCCAAGACTGTCCTGACTCCATTAATGTCATTCTTTTAGTTAAAAGAAACAAGACTTTAGGCTCTCTGAGGACAAGGAGCCATTCTGTTTACTGCTGATTCCCCAGCACTGAGCTGATCAATGAATATATGTTGGATGAACAGAAAACACAGTCGTCCCCCCTTATCCGCGGTTTTGCTTTCCATAGCATCAGTTACTTACAGTACAGTATTATGAGAGCCCACATTCATATAACATTATAGTATACTGTTGTAATTGTTCTATTTTGTTGTTGCTGTTAATCTCTTACTGTGCCTTGTTTATAAACTTTATCATTGCTCTGTGTATATAGGAAAAAAAAACATGGCATATACAGGGTTCAGTACTATCTGCATTTTCAAGCACCCACCGGGGGTCTTGAAATGTATCTCCAGTGGATAAGGTGGGACTACTGTATTCTCAGTTAGTGCTGCGTCACACACCCACCTAAAATGGATATCAGTTATTGCTCTTTTTTCCTGCCCAACATCCACTTCCTCTATTTAGGAAACCATCCCACTCCCACTCTTAGTCAACACAATTTAGGCAGAGCTGACCTCACCTTCATCTTCAGGAATGGGCAATGGATTCGAGTCTGAACAATTTGAATCAGTGATTGGCTGAAAGGTGGACACATGACCCAGTTTGCAGCAATGGGAATTTAGGTTCATGACTTGCAGCTCTCTTTCCCTTGAGTTGCTAAGCAGATAGAAGACTAGAGTTGCTGGTAGCCATTTTTCCCCAAGAGGAAAGCCTGTCTGTGAATAAAGTCAACAAAAGGAAAGCAGGATTAAGAGAAGGCAAATCCTACTTACCTTAGGTAAGCACCCAGAACAAACATTACCACCTGGAATTTTCAGTTACAGGAATCAATAGATTCCAGTTTGGGTTTTTAAGCCAGTTTGGGTTGGGTGCTTGTTGCCTGCAGCCCAGAGTCCTGATACACCACCTAAATAAAAATGGAGCCCAAGCAAGTTGGTATCACAGCCACTCCACTGAAGAAAGCAGCACACTTGCAATTATACTCAGGTATATCCACTATCTCCAAGAAGCCTGGGTTTATGAACAGAGGAGAAGAGAAGACAACAGAGAAAGTGCCTACTGCCTCTGAAATTCTGACCAGGGATGTGTTCTTTCACTAGTTTACTTATACTAAGAACTCTATCAGGTGCCAACTGAGGTATTCCCAACTCATCACCTAAAAAGAGATGGCTGCTAAGTGCTATTACTAAAAGCTTCATAAAACATGAGGCTTGGGAGGAGTCCTGCGTTGTTTTTTTTTTGTTTTTTTTTTTTTGAGGTGGAGTCTTGCTCTGTCACCCAGGCTGGAGTGCAGTGGCGCAATCTCGGCTCACTGCAACCTCTGCTTCCCGGGTTCAAGCAATTCTTCTGCCTCAGCCTCCCCAGTAGCTGGGACTACAGGCACGTGCCACCACACCCGGCTAATTATTGTATTTTTTAGTAGAGACAGGGTTTCACCGTCTTAGCCAGGATGGTCTTGATCTCCTGACCTCGTGATCCATCCACCTCGGCCTCCCAAAGTGCTGGGATTACAGGCATAAGCCACCATGCCCAGTGAGTCCTGCGTTTTCATGTCAGCTTTGCTTGCCCATCAGAGGTTCTGGCCTATACCAGCCAGATGACACTCCAAGGCAGCACTGCTCACCTACCCATCCAAAGGCAACTTCACTTTTGATTGCTAACTTATTAGTTGTTCTCTCTCTAGTGATGGATACTGAAGACTCTGAAGTGGAGGAGACTGCACCAGAAATACAACAGGGTGCACTAATGAAAGTGCCAAAGGTTGGAGAAGAAACGGGGGCAGGGAGGAAGTGTAAGAAGGTAGTACCAGATTTTATTTCCCATTCATGTCAAGTGGATCAGCTTCTGTTAAAGATTCTAGGGAGTCTCAAATGGAACTAACTCTTCCTTTCAGGAGCCACCCATGGATCAAGCAAGGATTCTTGGGAAGGCACAAGGCAAAGATGATAAAATGGTTACCCAAGGCAGATCTAGCCCACTGACAGGTTTTGTTTAACCTGCAATGTTAGCACCTAAAATCTTATTAATTTTTATTAGTTACCAACAATTAAAAATTGGAAGAGCTTTTGAGGTAGACTGACATAGTGATGGCCCCAAATTTGTTCATGTCTCTCTGTATCCAAGCACTTGGGTAAATCCACACTGACTCTGGACTTGGCCACATGAGAATAACAAACATGACCTATGCAGACTTCAAAAGCACCATTGCATCTGGCCACTGGGGCTCGCCCTCTTGCTGCTCTTGTAACTCTGAGAATGCCCACTTGGGGCTAAGCTAAGCTGCTGTATGATGACTCATAACCCAGATACACACCTCTTTCTCTCTCTCTCTCTCACACACACACACACACACACACGCACAATTAGCCAACCCCTAGAAGCAGAGCAGCCTAGGTGACCACAGCTAACCTCAGACACACGAGTGAGCTCACCCATGCCCAGCCCAAGCTGCCACCCTGCAAAATGGTGAGCTAAATCGTGGTTGTTTTAAGCCAACGTTTTGGATGGTGTTTTTAAGTGAGACAGAATCTATTTTGCCCAGGCTGGTCTCAAACTCCTGGGCTAAGGTGATCCTCCTGCCTCAACTCCCCCAGCAGCTGGGAGTACAGGCATGTGCCACCATGCCCAGCTTGGATGGTTTTCTCATGCAGAAAAAACTGAAGGAGTCCACATAAAAATACATATTCCCAATTAAAAAAAAAAATCTAAAGACCTTACAACACTGGGACCACATTCCTACAGGGCAACAACCAGCTAATGGGGGCAGTGGTTATTACCCTGACCCCAGCCATGGCATGTATTTCCCAATGTGTCTTTATCATCTTGCCCATGCTGGGGTCAAGTTCTGCTGTCATGTCATCTCAGCTGGGTGTTGATTTATGGTAAAGAAGAAAGTGAAATACTACATTCCACATACACAAGTTACTATCAAAAGTGAGAAAACCAGTACAACTACTTTGGAAAACTGTCAGTATCTACCAAGGCTAATCTATGCATACCTTATGACTCACCAATTCCACTCCCAAATGAATACTCAGGAAAAATGTGGACACATTTTTCAGAAGATGTACAAAACATTTATGGTGGCACTATATCTGAGAGTCCCAAACTGGCTATCAACAAACTAGCAACAATTCCCATCAACAGTAGATAAGATGTGGCATATTCATAGGGATCAATCTCACAGATAATGCCATACACGAGAACTCAAAGACACATGAGTATGTGCTGTTTGACTCCACTTAATATACAGTTCAAAAACAAACAAACTAAATGTGGTGTTAGAAGTCAGGTGAGGCCAGGCATGCAGGCTCACACCTGTAGTTCCAGCACTTCGGGAGGCCGAGGCGGGCAGATCACAAGGCCAGGAGTTCAAAACCAGCCTGGCCAACATAGTGAAACCCCATCTCTACCAAAGATACAAAAATGAGCAGGCCGTGGTGGTGCATGCCTGTAGTCACAGCTACTAAGGAGGCTGAGGCACAAGAATCACTTGAACCCGGGAAGTCAGGGTTGCAGTGAGCCAAGATCATGCCACCGCACTCCAGCCTAGGTTACAGGGTAAGACTCTATCTCCCAAAAAAAAAAAAAAAAAAAAAAAAAAAAGTAGTCAGGTGAGTGGTTACCCTTGGGTGGAAGAGAAGTCAGGTGAGTGGTTACCCCTGGGTGGAAGAGAAGTCAGGTGAGTGGTTACCCTTGGGTGGAAGGGAACACAGGGCAGGGGAGGTGGTTCTGACATGCTGGTGATGCTGCCCTGTGACCTGGCTGCTGTTTACATGGATGTGTACACTTGAAAATTCATCAAGCTGTGTATTTAGGCCCTTGTAAAGGTCAATACATAGTTTGAGCTTAAAAACTTTTAAAAGTGGGAAAACAAGACCAAGATGGCCATGTTTAAAGACAATTCCTACATGTTTAATTGTGACAAAAAGAACAGCTGCCACTATGAAACGAATTATAAAGCTATGACCAGAACACATAAAAACACCTGATGAGCTGGGAGAAAAGACCTAATGTGCAACACCCAGCCTACCTCACTCACGTGCATTACCTGCCTTAGCCCTGTGGGCTCTGGGGCTTGCAACCACTGACACAGGAATCCAAGCCTTTTCCATAAACCTTGTCATCATTTATCAGCCTGGAGAGAAGGAGTAGGTTTATTATCTAAAAATCAGTTACTTTCCTAATGCTCATCTACAGATTAGTTGAAAATAGCCACTGGAGAGAGTTGTTGGGAGAAATGAAGACGATAATGTCTCTAAACCCTTAAGACAGTACCAAGGAGACAGTTTACGCACACAATGAATTATAACTTTATTTATAGCAGTGTTACTAATGATTGCAAAGTCTTGTTTTCATTTTTTATTTTTTGAGATGGAATTTTGCTCTTGTTGCCCAGACTGGAGTGCAATGGCACGATCTCGGCTCACCACAACCTCCGCCTCCTGGGTTCAAGAGATTCTCCTGCCTCAGCCTCCTGAGTAGCTGGGATTACAGGCACCCACCACCATGCCTGGCTAATTTTGTATTTTTAGTAGAGACAGAGTTTCTCCTTGTTGGTTAGGCTGGTCTCGAACTCCTGACCTCAGGTGATCTGCCCACCTCAGCCTCCCAAAGTGCTGGGATTACAGGTATGAGCCACCAGGCCCAGCCTTTTTTTTTTTTTTTTTTTTTGAGACAGGGTTTCGCTCTGTCACCTAGGCCGGAGTGCAGTGGTGTGATCCCGGCTCACTGCATCCTCGACCTCCTGGCCTCAATCAATCCTCCCACATCAGCCTCCCAGGTAGTGAGGACTACAGGAACATGCCACCACGCTGGCCAATTTTTGTAGAGATGGGGTTTCTCTACGTTGCCCAGGTTGGTTTTGAGCTCCTGAGCTCAAGAGATCCATCCACCCACCTCAGCCTCCCAAAGTGCTAGGATTACAGGCATGAGCCACCTTGCCCAGCCACAAAGTTTGCTTTTTGCCTGCTTTTGACAGGGTCTTGCTGTGTCACCCAGGCTGGAGTGCAGTGGTGCAATCATGGCTCACTGCAGCCTCAGCCTCCTGGGTTCAAGCGATCCTCCCACCTCAGCCTCCCAAGTAGCTAGAACTAAAGGGGTGCACCACCACACCTAGCTAAATTTTTTAAATTTTTTGTAGAACCAGGGTTTCACTATGTTGCCCAGGCTGGTCTTGAACTCCTGGGCTCAAGCAATCCTCCTGGCTTGGCCTCCAAAGTGGTGGGATTACAGGTGTGTACCACCACACCTGGCCTACAAAGTCCTCTTTAAAATTAGAGGTGCCCCAAAAGTTGTATGCTACTCATAGAGAACCTAGTAGTACCTAATGTGGTGATTCTGAAGGGGGCAGAGGAGACCAGGGAAATGAATTCCAGGAAGACAGGGAAGGCCTTTTCCAACAACATGAAATAGATTCAGATGTACCCTCCAGATTCTCCAGTATGCAGGTCCCTTCTATTTTCAGAATACTACAGACCCTTGAACAACATGGGTTTGAACCGCGTGGGTCCACTTGTATGCAGGTTTTTTCCATAAACGTTGCATCGAATGTGCCTGCCTCTCCTTGCACCTCTGCCACCACTATGACAGCAAGACCAATCCCTCCTTCGTAGCAGCAGCAGCAGCCTACCCAGCATGAAGGCAATGAGAATGATGGCCTTTGTGATGAGCCACTTTCACTTAATGAATAGTAAATACATTTTCTCTTATAATTTTCTTAATGACACTTTCTCCTCTAGCTTACTTTATTATAATGCTACAGTATATAACACACAGAAGATACAAAATATGTGTTAACTGACTTATCTATAAGGCTTCTGGTCAACAGTAGGCTATTCGTAGTTAAGTTTTGGGAGAGTCAAAAGTTATACACAGATTTTTGACTGCAAGGAGGTCAGTTCTCCTAACCCCCCAGGTTGTTCAAAGGTCAACTGTACATGATTTGCTTCTTTACTATTTTTGGCATCAATGCCTATACCTCTAAGGTGTTACAAATGGAAAGCCTTGAGAATCAGGACCTTAAACCAAAGGAGGCTATACAGTAGAGTATAATGTCTTAAACTTGCCTGATCATACCAGTCATCAGATTTCAGGGCCCCTTCCCTGGTGATGGAGTTAGCAGGTCTGGGGAGGGCCCAGAACCTATATTATAACCAAGCCTCAAGTGATTCTTATGCCAACTCAAGTTCACGTGGTGAAACTTGGAGTTGAAAAGACCTGGATCCAAATTCAATCCCCAGAATCTATCAGTGGGGTAATGCTGGGCAAGTTACAGAGAATCTCTGAGTTTCTTCATTTGTAAAAGGAGAGTTAAAATCTACCTCACAGGATTGTTATATTCGAATTAGGGCAGAGCACAGGACTAAACACTTGGTAAAAACTCAAATAGTAGCTATTAATGCTATTTGAGTAAACTACATATTACATAAAATAATAGGCCATTATTTCTTGAAACAGCTTGCCACTTAAAAGAATTATTCTCGGCCGGGCGCGGTGGCTCACGCCTGTAATCCCAGCACTTAGGGAGGCCGAGGCGGGCGGATCACGAGGTCAGGAGATCGAGACCATCCTGGCTAACACAGTGAAACCCCATCTCTACTAAAAATACAAAAAGAAATTAGCCGGGCGTGGTGGTGGGCGCCTGTTAGTCCCAGCTACTGGGGAGGCTGAGGCAGGAGAATGGCGTGAACCTAGGAGGCGGAACTTGCAGTGAGCCGAGATCGCGCCACTGCAACTCCAGCCTGGGCGACAGAGCGAGCGAGACTCCGTCTCAAAAAAAAAAAAAAAAAAAAAGAATGATTCTCAATTGGGAGGATCACTTGGGCCCAGGAGTTTGAGACCAGACTGGGCAATACAGGGAGACCTTGTCTCTACCAAAAAATTTAAAAAATTAGCTGAGTGTGGTGGCGCATGCGTGTAGTCCCAGCTACGCGGGATGCTGAGGGAAGAGGATGGCTTGAGCCAGGCAGTTTGAGGCTGCAGTGGGCCGGGAGAGCAACAGTACACTCTAGCCTGGGCAACAGAGCAAGACCCTGTCTCAGAAAAGAAAGAAAGAAAGAAAAAAAAAAAAAAACAGGAAAAAAAAAAGTGGGTTCCCAATTGTAAAGCTGTAGGGACTTCCTTTGGGCCTAATTTAAATCAAACCATTAGAACCTGGAGCCTTGTCCTCTTAACCTGGGAGCCACGGATGCATTTCAGGTGTTCTTGATTTTCCCAACTTTCTGAAGGGGATTATTTTTAACGGACACAGGGTCCCCAGCTTCCTCCAGATTCTCCAAGGTATCCACGCCCCACAAAAAGATAAGAAACTCTATCCTAATGAAAGTGCCCAGGAGATTCTTCCTCCTCTTCTTCCTTTTTTTCTGAGATAATTTTTTTGAATACGTGCACGGTTACAAAAATTAAATAGTGCAAACAGTATACAAAGGTAAAATTACTTCCTATCCATCATCTGGGTCCTCCTTTTCAAAGGCAACCTTTGTTCAAAGTTTAGGTAGCCTTCAAGAGCAGGATTTCTCAACCCCACACTTACTGATATTTTGTCCTGGATAATTTTTTTGTGCGTGGTGTCCTGTACACTGTAGGATGTTCAGGAGCATCTCTGGCCTCTACCCACTAGATGCCCAGTAACATGCACACATACACACCCCGATGAGGCACCCAAAAATGTCTGCAGACACTGCCACATCTGGGGGAACAAAATCGCCCTGGTTGGGAAGTGCTGCTTCCAGAAAGACCCCTATGCAAGCACAAACATTGGTGTTTGTGCGTCTACTCATTTTCTCGGGCAACTAGTGGCACACAGTTACTCTCCAAATCACTGCAGGGGTTTGTCCTGGGGGCGGGGGCCGGCGCAGGCATGGGCGGGGGGGAGGCGACGGCCACTCACCAGGTCGCGGATGAGCTGGTCCACCAGCTGCTCCCCGCCCCCGGCGCCCTCGCGGGCCAGAGGAGAACGTGAGCGGCTCGCTACGTCCTGCCCCTCGGCCCGAGTCGCCCGCGCCGCCGGGGGCCTCCCCGCGCCCTCCAGGAGACGCTGGGCCAGCGCCGGGTCCCCCGAGGCCTGTTCGCCGCGCCCGGAGCCCACCTCCGGCCGCCGAGCCCGCCTCTCGGCAGCCTCGGGCCGTCGCCGCTTCTTCGGCGCCTGGGCCTGCGCCAGCTCCTCCTGCCAGCGCCGACGGAACTCATCCAGGCTGTAGTCGTCCATATTCGCCGCTCCCGGCGCTCCACGTTCTCCTCGGTTCCACCGGGTGCCACGAGACAGTCCCGCCCAGGGAAGTGTCCGCCGCGGCCGGAAGCCGCTGCCGCCGCCGCTCTAGGGTTCCGGGTGGGCGTCCACGCCCCCGCCACGCCCCCGGCGCTGCCCCTGTACGCACGTGGTGGTCCGGCTTGTGGCTTGTGGCGCCCAAAGCAGAGGTTTACGCAGCTGCCCCTCAGCCCGTCAGCTCTGCTGCCTATCACTTTTGCTAAGCTCTGACTTTGCGCCAAGCATTGTTCCTTCATTCAACAAACATTCATTCAGCAACTACTATATGCCAGGCACCAAGAATTCAGCATTTAAATCTGTAAAACAAAACAAAAACTCTGACGTCTTGGAGCATGCGTTTAAGTAGGGAGACTTTAAACAAAGAAATATGAACATTTAAATCAGTGATAGGTATTAGGAAGAAAACAAAATAAGGTAAGGTAAGGGGAGTAAGGATTGATAGTGAAAGTCTGTTTAAGATGTTATTTAAATTAAAATCTAAAAGAGAATCAACAGGTGGATAAAGAAACTGATATATACATATGGTGGAATACTACTCAGCCATAAAAAAGGAATGAATTCATGGCATTCGTAGCAACCTGGATGGGATTGGAGACTATTATTCTAAGTGAAGTAACTCAGGAATGGAAAACCAAACATCGTATGTTCTCACATATAAGTGGGAGCTAAGCTACGAGGATGCAAAAGCATAAGAATGACTTATGGGACTTTGGAACAGGGGAGGGGGACGAGGGGAGGGTGGGAAGGTGGGGAGGGATAAAAGACTATAACTTGGGTTCAGTGTATACTGCTCGGGTGATGCGTGCACCAAAATCTCACAAATCACCACTAAAGAACTTACTCATGTAACCAAATACCACCTGTTCCCAATAACCTGTGGAAATAAAAATTTTTTTTTAAAAATCTGAAAGAGAAACCAGCCAAGGGAAGGTCAGATCTTAGGAGAGAGATTTCCAGAAGGAAATCCAAGGGCTTTAAGATGGGAAAGAAAATGACATACGATGGCGTTCCACTTAAAAATGTTTTCTTTGCACCTGATATTCCCTCAGCAGGGAACTTTTCCCCCCACCTTGACTTGGTTAACTCCTACACATCTTTCATATCTCAACTCACATTTCACTTAATCTTCCAACCTCCACTCAAGAAACATCAGGTATCCCTGTTACTCATTCTCACAGCATCCTGTACTTCTCATCATAATACATAACACAATTTGTAATTTTATTTTTATGTATATATATATATCCCTTCCCTTCTAGATTGGCAACTCTTAGCTTTGAGACTGGTGATTAATACATGCTCAATAAATGGTTTTTTGTTTGTTTGTTTGTTTGGTTTGTTTTGTTTTTGAGACGGAGTCTCGCTCTGTTGCCCAGGCTGGAGTGCAGTGGCGCGATCTCGGCTCGCTGGAAGCTCCGCCTCCCGGGTTCACGCCATTCTCCTGCCTCAGCCTCCTGAGTAGCTAGGACTACAGGTGCCCGCCACCACACCTGGCTAAGTTTTTGTATTTTTAGTAGAGATAGGGTTTCACCATGTTGGCCAGACTAGTCTTGAACTCCTGACCTCAAGTGATCCACCCACCTCAGCCTCCCAAAGTGCTGGGGTTACAGGTGTGAGCCACCACTCCAGGCTCAAAGATGCTCTTGCAATTAACTGTCCCTTATTCCTTGTCTAACTCTTCTTAGTCTCTCAGGCCTCTTCTCTAGAATCACTTCTGTAAATAAACTAGCTGCCTACAAACCCAGGGCTCAGGCTTGCTTACTGTGGGAAACCAGGCTTGGACAACCTTCACTGTAGAAAATTAGAGTATATGGTTGGGCGTATATTCACACCACTACACTCCAGCTTGGGCGACAGTGCGAGACTCTGTCTCAAAAAAACAAAAAAAAGAAAGAGCATCTCTGAGTTGGTCCTACTGTGGCAATTTAGGCTCATTCCATTAGCACCTTCTAAGGAGCCTTAGAACACAGCTCAGAATTGTCCTCCCAAGAGATAAGAGCCAGAAGAGGAAAGCATTTGTCCAGTGACTCTCATCCCCTACTAGAGAAAGGCTAAGCCAAGGAGCTTTAACAACCTCCCACTTCTAGATTGGGTATAAGTAAACGGATTATCATGGATGTTCCGTACCAAGGCAGCAGAGATGCTCTGGGGCAAAAAGCAGGAGGTACACTGTGCAGCTAACAGGAACGACTGTCAGGTTACACGTGCACAAAGCCAGTTGCTACAGCAGTGACTAAGGTAAAAGATGAGTGAAGTGATGCAAGATGGAACATAAGCATCCAATACAAGTAAGCATTCTCTTTTTTTTCCGTAAAGGTTTTATTATACACAGAAGGGGAAGAAGTCTCAGTTCTTCTTGGCAGCCATTCGCTTCCTGGAGGTCAAGATATTGCCCAGCTCCTCTCACTTCTTATGGTGCAGATGTGTGTCCCCGCTCTCTTCTTGATGAACTTGAGGGTCCACTTTTTCTTGGAGACCTTGAACAATTCCAAGGTGCATCACTTATATAGAACAAAGCCACACACCTCTCACATCATGTCCCACACGAACTTTCTGTGCTTGGTGGGGTGCCTGCGGTGGCAGCAGTGGCCATGCTTGCTCACATTCTTGGTCCTCACCTTGTGGCCCTCACTGAGACCCACAGACATGGGAGACCACAGAAACATGGCTGCTGCTCATCAGTGGCTGCTGCCAATAAATATTATTGTAATAAAAATAAAAACGAGCTAATTTTTCCCCATTCCGCTAGCATCCCATTCATCCCATGTGCCTTCCATGTGAAATCCAAAGGTCATACTTACTTTGATTATCTACTTGCAAGTCAAAAGCCAAATATCACTTTTCTGGTATCTCTAGATTTTATGGACCATCTAACACTTAAAACAGAAAGCAAACTGGAATTAAAAAAAATGGGGTCTCACTCTGTCACTCAGGCTGGAATGCAGTGGCATGATCGTAGCTCACTGCAGCCTCGAACTCCTGGGCTCAAGTGATCCTCCTGCCTCAGCCTCCCAAGTAGCTGGAACTACAGGAGCATGCCACTATCTCAGACTAATGTTTAAGTTTTTAGTAGAGATGAAGTTGGTCAAATGGTTGGTCTTGAACTCCTGGCCTCAAGCGATCCTCCCACCTCGGGGGATTACAAGCATTAGGCCCCAAGCCCAGGCTCAAACTGGAAAATTTTAAACACCCAATTTTCCAGGCTCAAACTGGAAAATTTTAAACACCCAAGCTGGTCAAGATCAATTTTAAACACCCAAGCTGGTCAAGACCACCCAAGCTGGTCAAGATCAATGTTTCCTGTTGCCCCTTTAAAAGAACTTTTACAGGGACAGTGCAGGCAGGCTAATGGGACCATTAGTCACCCAGAGAAAATGAAAAAGAGAGAGAGAGAGAAGCATGCTAAGAAGAAGGAAAATATTGTCTTTTTTTTTAGTATTGCCTACCATTCACTGACTATATTTATGTTGATTTTATATCTTTCCAGTAGTAAATTCCTGGACCTCCATTTCCTCAAATGAAAAGTAAAGATAGAAATATCTTTCTTTCAGAATAACTGTAAGACTGATAAAATGCCTATAAAACTCTTAGCATCCATAAAACATAATGTAGGCTTTTAATAAATGATGTCTATGATCCACATTAATACAGTCTTGGCAGATAGAGATTGCATCTAACCTGTGCTCTGTAAGTCTTGTATTCCACAGGGCCCCACCTTTTATCACATTGAGGGTATACTTTTGCAAGCTCAATCTGTTAAAGTTCTTTGTTTGCAAGCAACAGACGCCAAGTCTTTCTACCTTAAGAAAAAGGGAATTAAACTCAGAGGATGGCTCACCAAGTTAAACAAAAAGAGGAATAACCAGACCCTTGGAATGCCAAGAACCAGATCAGATTTAGGGATTTCATCATGGGAACTGTGAACCATCTCTGTAGGATGGGATCGCTGCCTGTCTTTCATTTCCTAGGATTCAAATTCCGAGAGCAGAGGTTCTCAGAATGTAGCCCCTGAACCAGCAATACCTGGGAGCTTGTTTGGAATGCAAATTCTCAGCCCAGACCACTAAATTGGAAACGCTAGGGGTCCAACCCCAGCAATTTTGATTTTAACAATCCCTCCCTGTAATTCTGATGCATAACCCAGTTTGAGAACCACTCTCCTGGAGGACCATCTGATTGGCCTAAGGCAGTCATATTTCCAGCTCTTGGGAGAACAGGGAGCGGTTTACAATGTCCTGGATTTCCAGGATTTCCATGCCACCATGCCTTGCTAATTTTTCAATTTTTTTTGCAGAGACATGGTCTTCCTATGTTGTCCAGGCTGGTCTCGGACTCCTGGCCTCAAGCAATCTTCTCACCTCAGCCTGCTGAGCTGCTGGGATTTCAGGCATAAGCCACCATGCCCAGCCTGCCTCCCTCTTAGAAGGATACTTGTGATTACTAAGGGCCCACCTGGCAATCCAGGATAACCTTCCCTATCTCAAGATCCTTAATGTAGTGACATTGGCAAAAAACTTTATTTATTTATTTATTTATTTATTTATTTATTTATTTATTATTGAGACAGAGTCTCGCTCTGGAGTGCAGTGGCACGATCCCAGCTCACTGCAATCTCTGCCACCCTGATTCAAGCAATTCTCATGCCTCAGCCTCCAGAGTACATGGGATTACAGGTGCCCACTACCACGCCCAGCTAATTTTTTGTATTTTTAGTAGAGACGGGGTTTCACCATGTTGGCCAGGCTAGTCTTGAACTCTTGGCCTCAAGTGACCCGCCTGCCTTGGTCTCTCAATGTGCTGGGATTACAGGCGCAAGCAAGCACACCTGGCCAACATTTGCAAAAATCTTTTGCCATTTAAGGTAACATTCACAGGTTCCACGGATTAGGACTTGGATATTTTTGAGGGGCCATTATTCAGCCTACAGCAGCTGGACTTCAGTAACCACAGACTCAAATGCCTACAGATGACCCCAGGAAACAAAAGTGGGACAAATGGGCCAGGCGTGGACTGTAACAAACTGGAGAACGGATGTCCATGTACGGCGCAAAGCCAATTTTTTTTTTTTTTGAGACAGAGTTTCGCTCCTGTTGCCCAGGCTGGAGTGCAATGGCATGATCTCAGCTCACTGCAACCTCCACCTCCCGGGTTCAAGAGATTCTTCCGCTTCAGCCTCCCGAGTAGCTGGAATTACAGGCATTCGCCACTACGCCTGGCTAATTTTTTGCATTTTTAGTAGAGATGGGGTTTCACCATGTTGGCCAGGCTAGTCTAGAACTCCTGACCTCAGGTGATCCACCCACCTTGGCCTCCCAAAGTGCTGGGATTACAGGTGTGAGCCACCACGCCCAGCCACACAAAGCCAATATTACTCTCCTCTACTCAATTGTTGCATCTTAGCCCACATCTTCCAAAATTCAATGTCTTGATTTTTAATTATGAAAAATGACCATTGTTAGCAACTAATTTCATTTTTTAAACAAAGATGTTTATCTAAAAGTGTACATTGCATTCAGTACCTTCAAAGCAACCAGTAGCTGTATGCAGTGGCTCATACCTGTAAACCCAATGCCTTGGGAGACTGAGGCGGGAGAATGGCTAGAGACCAGGAGTTCAAGACCAGCCTGGGCAACATAGTGATGCCCCATCTTTACAAAATATAAAAAATTACAATTAACCAGACATGATGGTACATGCCTATAGTCCTAGCTACTCGGGAGACTGAGGCAAGAGGATCCCTAGAGCCCAGGAGTCTGAGGTTGCAGTGAGCTGTGATCATTCCACTGCACTCCGACAGAGCAAGACCCTCTCTCTTAAAAAAAAAAAAAAAAAAAAAAAAAAAAAAAAAAAGCGGCCGGACACGGTGGCTCACGCCTGTAATCCCAGCACTTTGGGAGGCCAAGGTGGGTAGATCACCTGAGGTCAGGAGTTTGAGACCAGCCTGGCCAACATAGCGAAACCCCATCTCTACTAAAAATACAAATATCAGCAGGTCATGGTGGCACGTTCCTGTAATCCCAGCCACTCAGGAGGCTAAGGCATAAGAATCGCTTAAACCCGGGAGGCGAAGGTTACAGTGAGATGAGATCGCGCCACTGCACTCTAGCCTGGGGGACCGAGTGAGATTCCATTTCGAAAAAGAAAAAGGAAAAAAAAAAGCAAACAAGCAAACGGTAGTTTATTCTTGAACAAGCCATGAGTTGAGTCAAAACTCCCTTCAACTTACATTGCTACTTCCTCCCCTCTTGTAAGTAGCGACTGAAGAATCACACCTCATTTGGGATCACTAATGTGTGAGCATCAGGAAATTAATATGAAAATGAAAATAAGAAATGGTGATGATTTCTAAGTACATTGTTTAGAAACATGAACAGAACATCGCAATGATGTGAGTGGCCATTCTGAATGTCAGCCTTACCTGGATGCATCCCTTGCTGTAGACATGATTTATGCTTTCATATTAGCAAAATATAAAATTCTGCAAAAAAAATTTTTTTTAACTGGGCTTGAAATAAAAGAAAAACGATCTGTAGCAAAAAAAAAAAAAAATTTCCTTGTTCTTGAGAACTTTCCCATCAATAATTCCATTTTTTAAAAAATGCTGCACAGACGGGATTCAGCGTCAGCTGCCACTTACAGACTTAGTCATTCAAAAGAAGCTTGTCCCATATGGACCCAACTCTCTTCCCACCTCTCTTTCTCTCTCTTCAACCCCCTCTTGCTTTTATTAAAGCCCCTTCCCTTTTCATTTCTCCAGTCTGGTTCCAAAATCTTTCCCTCTGAAAGTGTTACCCTCCCCTGGAGAAAAAAACGTGTTCCATCCTTGGGTCTCTCGCTCTCTCTCACCTCTTGCATCTTTTTATTTGTCTTGAGAATTCACTTCCAGCCTGATGCTCATGAGAGACACTTTGCTCAGTTACTGCTGGCGCCGAAGGAGGAGGCAATGGCTTGGGTCCCCAGGATAAGTGCCCAGACTCCAGCTCAGACCCTGGGACAGCAAGAGCCAATTTCCTTGCCTGTCTACTTAAGAGGCAAGGCACCAGGGCAAGCTTGTGCAGCCATCCTAGTCTGGGCTCACATGAAGCAGAGATACTCCTGTCATTAGTATGACTTTAACTCTCACTCCTATGAAACAAAGAACCTCAAAATTGTTTATTTATTTATTTATTTATTTATTTATTTAGAGACAGAGTCTCACTCTGTCACTCAGGCTGGAGTGCAGTGGCGTGATCTTGGCTTACTGCAACCTCCGCCTCCCAGGTTCAAGCAATTCTCCTGTCTCAGCCTCCCGAGTAGCTGGGACTACAGTTGCCCGCCACCACGCCTGGCTAATTTTTGTATTTTTAGTAGAGACGGGGTTTCACCATATTAGTCAGGCTGGTCTCCAACTCCCGACCTTAGGTGACCCACTCACCTCGGCCTCCCAAAGTGCTGGGATTACAGGCGTGAGCCACCGCGCCTGGCCTCAAAATTATTTTCTTTATTCCAAGTCATCCCTCCCAATTTATTAAATTTCAAATTATTCCTCTCATCTTATTTCTTTGCAATCCAACTAAGTTTTTCCCATCTCAGCACATGATGACACTACGTTGATGCTTCAGCCAAGAACTTGAGTTCTCACTCTCCCTCACCTCTCACATCAAGGGCTGATAATTTTTTTTTTGTTTTTGAGATGGAGTCTTGCTCTGTCATCCAGGCTGGAGTGCAGTGGTGGAATCTCTGCTTACTGCAACCTCCACCTCCCGGGTTCACGCCACTCTCTTACCTCAGCCTCCTGAGTAGCTGGGATTACAGATGCCCGCCACCAGGTCCGGCTAATTTTTGTATTTTTAGTAGAGACTGGGTTTCACCGTGTTGGCCAGGCTGGTCTCGAACTCCTGGTCTCAGGTGATCTGCCCATCTCGGCCTCTGAAAGTGCTGGGATTACAGGCATGAGCCACTGTGCCCAGCTCAAGTCAAGATAATTCTACTTTCAAAATATATTTTGAGGCCAGGCAAGGTGGCTCACATTTATAATCCCAGCAATTTGGGGGGCTGAGGCAGGAAGATCGCACGGGCCTCAGGAGTTTGAGACCAGCCTGGGCAACATAGGACAACCTTATCTTTAAAAATAATAATTAAAAAAATTAACCAGGAGTAGTGGTGCATGCCTGTAGCCCCAGCTACTAGGGAGGCTGAAGTCAGAGGATTGACTGAGCCCAGGAGTTCAAGGCTGCAGTGAGCTGAGATTGCACCACTGCACTCCAGCCTGGGAGACAGAGCAAGCCCCTGTCAAAAAAAAAAAAAAAAAAAAAAAAAGAAAAGAAAGTAAGAAAACAAAACAAAGAAAAACTGTATCTTCAATCTGTTCACTTCTCTTCTCTCTATCTCCCTCACCACCATCCTAGTCCAAGGAAGGTCACCAGGTAAAATGCAAGACACATAGTTAAAATGGAATTTCAGACAGACAATGAATTATTTTAGTGTAAGTATACCCATGCAAAATTTAAATTTTAGATAAGCAAAGAATAATTTTGTCCTATGCAATATTTGGGATATATTATACTAAAAATATTCTTTGCTTATCTGAAATTCAAATTTAACTGGGCATCCTGTATTTCTCTTTGCTAAATCTGACAACCCCCTAAATCCAAGGCACCGTCATGGAGTCTAGCCCACTGCAGAACCTCCCCACTGGTCTCCCCATCTCAATTGTTGCTCCTGCCAATGAATCACAGAGCTGCCAGAGAGCTTTTGGAAAAGTGAATCAGATCAGGACATTTCCCTATTTAAAACACCTAAAGGTACCTCCACTGTTCTTGAAATAATAAATGAGATCATATTTTACAACAGCTTTATTGAAATATAATACACATACTGCACCATTCACCCATTGAAAGCATACAATTCAATGTATTTTAGAGTATGCACAGATATATGTCACCATTGCCACAATTTTAGAATACTTGCATCACCCCCCAAAAGAAACCCTACTCACTTTAGCCATCACCTCCAGTCCTTCCTGGGCAATCATCATTGTGCTTTCTGTCTCTGTAGATTTCTCTATTCTGGACATTTCATATAGATGGAATCATATAGTATGTGACCTTTTGTGTCTAGCTTCTTTCATTCAGTTAATCTTTTCCAGGCTCATCCCGTTCCAGCAGGTATCAATACTTGATTCCTTTTCATGGCTGAATAATATTCCATTGTATGGATAGACTAAAATTTGTTTCTCAATTCATCTATTAAAAAACGGTCCTTATTTTACAGACATTGATGGGCACTTGAGTTGCTTCCATCTTTTGGCTATTGAGAATAATGCTTCTGACCAGGTGCTGTGGCTCATGCCTGTAATCCTAGCACTTTGGGTGGATGGATTGCTTGAGCTCACGAGTTCAAGACCAGTCTGGGCAACACGTCAAAACCTCATCTTTACAAAAAATACAAAAATTAGCCAGGTGTGGTGCACACCTGTAGTCCCAGCTACTTGGGGGACTGAAGTGGGAGGATCACTTGAGCCTAGGAGGTAGAGGCTGCAGTGAGTCATGTTTGTACCACTGCACTCCAGCCTGGTCAACAAAGTGAGACCCTGTCCTTAAAAAAATATATTAAACGAAAAAGAATAATGTGTCTACAAAGATTCCTGTACAGGTTTTTGTGTAGGCATAGTTTCTTATTTCTCCTTGGTATATTGCTAGGAGCAGAATTGCTGGGTTAAATAATTTTAAATCATGTTTAATCACTTAAGGACCTGCCATCCACCACTTTACATCCCCACCAGCACTGTGTGAGGGTTCCAGTGTTTATTTTATATCTTCCCATTCAAACTTATCTGTAGTCTGAAAAAAGCTAACTTCTTTTCCACCTTGGGGGCTTTTGAACCCACTTCCCTCTTCCTAAAACACTCTTCCTGTATCACTCCTCAGTGAGGTTGCCTCTTCATCCTTCAGCTCTCAGTTCAAACGTGACCCCCCTGACCATTCCATTTAAGTAATGCATCCACACACAATTATCCCTATCACTGAAACAGAGCTGTACCTCAATAGATAAGTGGTTTTATTTATTATCTGTTTGTTTTGTGTGTCTCCCCCATTAGGATGCGGGCTCCCTGAGGCTGGGGGCCGTGCCTATCTTGTTCATCAGGGCATCCTCATCTCCTTTCATACAGCCTGGTTCCTAGAGTGTGCTCAGTAAATCTTGCTTGGTGGAATGAATGAATCAATTAATGAATGGATGATGGAGCTCAGAGAGAGCAGAAGGTGTTTCTGAGATTTGTGTCCACACCCAGTGGATGCTCAATAAATATTTGTGCTGCTAAGCCTGGCACAGTCGCTCACACCTGTAATCCCAGCACTTTGGGAGGCCGAGGCAGGAGGATCACTTGAGCCCAGGAGTTCAAGACCAGCCTGGGCAACATAGCAAGACCTCGTCGCTACAAAAAAAAAAAAAAAAATAGCAAGTTATGATAGCACATGCCTGTACTCCCAGCCACTCGGAAGGCTGAGGTGGGAGAATTGCTTGAGCCCAGGAGATGAAGGTTGCAGTGATCCATGATCATGTCACTGCATTCCAGCCTGGGTGACAGAGTGAGACCCTATCTCAAAAAAAAAAAAAAAAAAAAAAAAATTTGTGCTGCTGATGAGCCTGCAAGTAATAAAGGTAGACACAACCATACACACATTCACACACACATTGAGTAGGAGAGAGAAAGATAAATTCAGTCCTTTAAGAAAAAAGTGAGGGGTGTCATTGATGTGTCTCATCAATCTCAACACAATTGCCCATGCAGGTGATGGAAACAGTTGCCTGTTCCACTTTGCAATCTGCAGAAACGATGAGTCCTCTCTCCTTTCTGTTTTAATAGAAAAATCACCCTGAGCACTTTGGTACACTGAGCACTTTGGAACTCTAATTACAGGTGACACGCAAGTGGAAAGAAAAATAGGAAATCAAATATTTGAGCCAATAAGTTGGGATTTATATGGGCACTTAATAGCAGCAAAGTACCCTAAGCCACTCAGAATGTTCTCAAAGCACTTTGCAGATGGACATCACTGGGGCCATCATGAGGATGAAGTCAGGAATGTCTGCAATGCCCTTGAGTTCTTTGAGGACCTGTCCATCTGCTTTGTAAATCTTAATGTCCACTTTCATGAGATTTCTCCAAGGCGGATGCCATGTAAAACCTTCTGAGGTCTCTACCCCACATCTGTCTGTAGCCTGACCTCTCAACACTCTCCTCAGTCTCCAATCTAATCTCATCATCCCAACCTCTTTCAGCTTTCACTTTGTCATGCTCTCTTGTCCCTGGAATTCGCCTCCCTTCCCACCGGCACCTGCCTAACTCTTACCAGGTTTCATGTTAGAGGTTACTTCCTTCAAGAAGCCCTCCCTGCCTTCCTTCTCCAGACCAGGTTAGGTTCTGTATTACCTAAGATCCATAGGTTGAAAAAAAAGAAACCCAATTGAAAATGACTTTAGCTAAAAAGAGAATTAATTTTGCTCTGGGAAGTCCAAGGGTAAAAAGGGACACTCAGGCCAGGAGCAGTGGCTCGTGCCTGTAATCCAGCACTTTGGGAGGCCAAGGCAGGCCAATCACTTGAGGCCAGGAATTCAAGACCACCGTGGCCAACATGACGAAACCCCGTCTCTCCTAAAAATACAAAAATTAGCCGGGTGCGGTGGAGCGCGCCAGTAATACCAGCTACTCTGGATGCTGAGGCAGAAGAATAGCTTGAACCCAGGAGACAGAGGTTGCAGTGAGCTGATATGGCACCACTGCACTCCAGCCTGGGTGACAGAGCAAGACTCTGTCTCAAAAAATTAAAAAACTACAGTTTAAAAAAGGGAAACTCAGGCTCTGAAACTAGCCTTCAGGCTTCTCTTTCTGATTTGTCTCTCCCCTTCTCTCCCTCTTTTTCTCTGTTGGTCTCACTTTCTTTTATTGCACTTAGGGAAAAAGCATTGCTGTACACAGCTCCAAGCTTATATTATTCCAGTTTAGTAGCACCAGAGAAAAGAAGTTATTTCTCACTCCCAGCATCCATAGATAAATGTCTCAGGGAAGGACTCTGATTAGCATATGACACTGTGGGTCACATGCCCACAGTGAGAGTCAGGGAAGGTGATACTATGATTGGCTGGGACTGATCACATGTATGCCCTGTATACACGTAGTGCATGTATGTCCTATGATTGCTAGTCCCTTCAGAACCATATGCAGTGAGAGATGGTCATTTCTCTAGAGGAATGGGGATGATGTTACCAATAGATATCACGTCTGTACTCCCAGCACTCTGGGAGGCTGAGGCGGGTGGATCACCTGAGGTCAGGAGCTCAAGACCAGGCTGGCCAACATGGTGAAATCCCCAACGTGGTGAAACTGCCGTCTCTACAAAAAATACAAAAATTAGCTGGGTGTGGTGGTGGGCACCTGTAATCCCAGCTACTAGGGAGGCTGAGGCAGGAGAATGGCTTGAACCCAGGAGGCGGAGGTTGCAGTGAGCCGAGTCCATGCCATTGCACTCCAGCCTGGATAATAAGAGCGAAACTCCATCTCAGGAGAAAAAAAAAAAAGGCAGTTCAGAGCTGGAGAAATGGGCCAGACACCCGGAGAGTTGAATCTGGAATCTTGATCTAAGTAGTTAGTGACTAGAAACATATTAAGTAGAGAGAAAGCTAGCCTCTCTTTCTAGAGCTCATCTATTCCTAAACAAATGGATGAAGAATGAGTGGATCAAGTTCGAAATGAAAACCACCAGGATCCAAGACAGATCTAAGGACAGGAATATCAGCTGGCGCCACCGTGTTTGCTTCCCTCTCTCTTCGCTGCCAACTGGCAAATCCTCTCTAATACGTGGAGTCCCACCAGAGAGGGAGCAATTCTGACAGGTTTACTGCCTGAGCTGTCTTTGATCAGATGCTCCCCTCTGGTCCACTCAGTGGCCTCACCTGTGTTGCCCTTTGACTTCCGTGTCAGGTGGACAGAGGTGGAAGATCTGACATGGTTATTGTCACAGGTTGGGTTTCCCAGCAAGTGGAATCTGAGATGGAGATTAGCATGCAGACAGTTTTTTTAGGGATACCTTTGGGATCACTACCTATGAAAAGGAAGAAAAGGAAGGAGGATTTGGTACAGGGAATCACAACAATGTAGCTAGATGATGTGGTTCCTATGACAACAAGCGCTGTACGTTACAGTTGTCTCCCATTGTAGCAAAAGAGCCTGGCCTTTGTAACCCACCATTGGTTGCTCAACAGATGTGGACTGCCCCTGGAAGGAAATATGATCTTGGATAAGGCAGTTTCTTCAAGTGAGGCAATTCCCATAGGGGACTGAGAGCTGAGGGCAGTCTTCCTGCAACACTTATAGCACCTGGAGGAACACACCCTTCCTTCCTGGAGGACAGTGCATGTCAAACTTGGCTGCACGTTGGAACCACCTGGGATCTGTAACAACACTGCTGTCTGGCTCCCTCTCCAGACATTCCGATTTTATTGGTTTGGGTATCAGGATATCCTGGACATCAGGATTTTTTTTAAAGCTCCCAGGTGATCCTAACCTGCAGCAAAAATTGAGAATCACTGCTGAAGTGAGTTCTGAGTAGCACATCACAATGTATGCCAGAGTTATTCAACTGCATTTGATCAATTATTCTTTTCTGGGCATTTCTCCACCCCATAGAGTCACTTATTGTTTTACTTCTTGAGAGGGGCTCTGGGAACATACCCCCTGTAAGGCCCCAGATTCTTTTTTTTTTTTTTTTTTTGAGACAGAATCTTGTTCTGTCGCCCAGGCTTGAGTGCAGTGTCACCATCTCAGCTCACTGCAATCTCCTCCTGGGTTGAAGTGATTCTTGTGCCTCAGCCTCCATAGTAGCTGGGATTACAGGAGTGAACCACCACACCCGGTTAATTTTTGTATTTTTAGTAAGACAGGATTTCGCCATGTTGGCCAGGCTGGTCTTGAACTCCTGACCTCAAGTGATCCTCCCACCTTGGCCTTCCAAAGTGCTGGGATTACAGGTGGGAGCCACCACACCCAGCCTATCTTGCTTATCTATTGAATATCAGTCAGAGTTCAGCTGTACAGGAGAGAATTCCTCATAAGCAGAAAGGGTATTCCCACAGTGGGTTAACTTGCTCACAAACTTGTTGAAAGGTCTGAAGAAACAGACCCTGGGCTGAGCTATCAGGATTAATCCCAAAGGCCACACCTCTGAAGGGTGCTTGCTTCTGCAGCAAGCGGGAAGCTAGCCACGTGTCCATCTCCAAGCAAGTACTGAGGCCAGGAAGATGTAAGGGCCCAGTGTGGCTCAGCTACCCACCTCTGTGGCCAAGGAAGTGCAGAAGCTCCGAAGGCTGGCAGCCTCTATCAGAATTACAGGGTTGAAACGGGATACAGCTAAAGGGTACTCCCTAAAGGCAGGGAGTGAGCGCTGAGCAGGCATCAACGATGTGTCTGCTAGCTGCTCAGGACACTCTAATAACTAGGGAAACCGGTGAATTCTGTGATCTCCTTATTTGTGTAATTTTAGTAAAATGGGAAACAGTAAAATGATGACACATAGAGGTATGGGGCTGACCTTCACTATTGAAAACCTTGTCATCAAATTCCTGAAATTGAGGTCTGGGTGCAGTGGCTTATGCCTGTAATCCCAGCACTTTGGGAGGCCGAGGTGGGTGGATCACCTGAGGTCAGGAGTTCGAGATCAGCCTGACCAACATGGTGAAATCCGTCTCTACTAAAAATACAAAAATTAGCCGGATGTGGTGGTGGGCACCTGTAATTCTAGCTACGTGGGAGTCTGAGACAGGGGAATCGCTAGAACCCAGGAGGCGGAGGTTGCAGTGAGCAGAGATCGTGCCATTGCACTCCAGCCTGGGGGACAGAGCGAGGTTCCGTCTCAAAAAAAAAAAAAAAAAAAAAAATCCTGAAATTGAAATATGTGGAAAATGCACTTAAACTTCTTTAATTGTTAGTTTTTTGTTTTGTTTTGTTTTGTTTTTTTCAGACGGGGTCTTGTTACAGTGCCCAAGTGGGTCCTGAACTCCTGGGCTCAAGTGATCTTCCTGCCTCAGCCTCATAAATAGCTGGGATTATAGGCATGTGTCACTGCACCTGGCTTAAACTCTTATACATACCAGTGCATGTATATCTTTCCAAAGTCCCCTTTATCAATTACCCCTGTGCTATTTCTACCCTTCCACTCCCAAGGGCAAAAGCAAAACCACCATCGTAAATTTCATGTGTATCCTTCCAGCCTATTTTAAAGAAATATGTGTGTGTTCATGAATAATTGATGGTATTGTTTTCTGTGTATTTCAAATTTACATAAACAGTATCAAACTGTACAAATAATTGCCTCATTTTACAAATGCCTTCTTTTGCTCAACATTATGTTTTTGAAATACATCTATCTATAAATCTAGTTCATTTCTTGTGATTTGTCACACTGTTCCATAGTACGAATATACCACATTTGTTTACCCAGTCTTCTCTTGGTAGATATTTTTGTTGCTTCCAAATGTTGGTTATTTCAAACAATGCTGCAGTGAACATCTTTGAACACCACTGGATGTCTAATACAGCAGAAAACGTCATTTCTTCTCTTCTCTCTCCCCAATAAAACCCTGATTGTGTTTGAACAGCCTTGTGCCCAGCCACCTCAAGGAATAAATCATGATTTGTCTGAGGCAGCGACTGGCAACATTTTTCTATAAAGGGCAAGGATGGTAAATATTTTAGGTTTGCAGGCCATATAGTGTCTGTCCTAACTCTGCTGTTGTAGTGTAAATGCAGACAGCAATGATATATAAATGAACAGGTGTGTGTTCCAATAAAACTTTATTTACAAAAATAGATGGAGTCACCCAAGAGGATATACGGATAGCAAATACACACTTGAAAAGATAGTCAACATCATTAGCTACTTATTAGGGAAAAGCAAATCAAAACCACAATGAGGCCAGGCTCGGTGGTTCACACCTGTAATCTCAGCATTTTGGGGGGCCAAGGCAGATGGATCACCTGAGGTCAGGAGTTTGAGACCAGCCTGGCCAACATGGTGAAACCCTGTCTCTACTAAAAGTACAAAAAATTAGCCAGGTATGGTGGTGGGCACCTGTAATCCCAGCTACTCGGGAAGCTGAGGCAGGAGAATCACTTGAACCCGGGAGGCGGAGGTTGCAGTGAGCCGGGATCGTGCCATTGCACTCCAGCCTCGACAACAGAGTGAGACTCTGTCTCAAAACAAACAAACAAACAAACAAACAAACAAAAAAATTCACAATGAGGTATCACTATATACCTATCAGAATGGCTAAAATATAAAATAGTGACATCAAATGCTGGAGAGGATGTGGAGAAACAGGATCATACACATACATTGCTGGTAGGAATGCACAATGGTGCAGCTAGTCTGGAAAACTGTTTGGCAGTTTCTTAGAAAACTAAACATGCAACTATCATATGACCCAACAATTGCATTCCTGGGCATTTATCCCAGAAAAAGGAAAACTTATGTTCACACAAAAACCTGTATGCAAATGTTCACAGCAGTTTTATTTCTCATAGCCAAAAACTGTAAATGATTCAGACATTCTTCAATGGGTGAATGGTTGAACGAACTATGATACAGCCATACCATGGAATCAGTGTCTTTACTGTGGGAGTGGATACATGAATCTACACAGGCAATAAAATGGTATGGAACTTACCATACACACACACACCCAAGAGTATAAGTGAACCTGAGGAAATCTGCGTAAGATCAGTGGATCAATATCCTGGTTCTGATATTATACTACAGTTTTGTAAAATATTACCATTGGGAAAATTGGGCAATGTCTAGGGGTCTCTCCATATTACTTCTAAAATTGCACATAAATCTATAATTACAGTAGTCCCCCTTTACCTACGGTTTCACTTTCCAAGATTTCAGTTACCCACCATCAACTGACTTCTGGAAATATTAAATGGAAAATTCCAGAAATAAAAAATTAATGGCCAGGCACAGTGGCTCATACCTGTAATCCCAGCACTTTGGGAGGCCAAAGCAGGTGAATCACTTGAGGTCAGGAGTTTGAGGCCAGCCTGTCCAACATGATGAAACTCCGTCTCTACTAAAAATACAAAAATTAGCCAGGCATGGTGGCGAGCACCTGAAATCCCAGCTACTTGGTAGGCTGAGGCAGGAGACTCACTTGAACTTGGGAGGCGGAGGTTGCCATGAGCCAAGAACGCGCCACTGCACTCCAGTCTAGAGGACAAGAACGAAACTTCGAATCAAAAAAAAAAAAAAAAATATATATATATATATATATATATATATATATATATGTTTTAAATTGTGCAGTATTCTGAATAGTGATGAAATCTCTCGTCACCCTGCTCCATTGCTCCATCCTACCTAGGATGTGTGTCATCCCTCTTTCCAGCACATCCATGCCATAGATGCTACCAGTCCATTAGCCACTTAGCTGCCATCTTGGTTATCAGGTTGACTATTGAAGTATTGCAGTGCTTGTGTTCGAGTAACCCTTATTTTCCTTAATAATGGCCCCAAAGCCCAAGAGCGGTGATGCTGGCATATTGCTATAATTGTTCTATTTTATTATTGCAATTAATCTTTTACTGTGACTAATTTATAAATTAAACTTTATCATGGCGTAAACCAAAAAGTATCTGAGACATGGCTCAATCCATTTAGAAGTGTATTTTGCCAAGGTTAAGGACATGCCAGCAAGCAATAAACATGGAATCACAGAAACAGTCTGTGGTCTTTGCCTTTCTCCAAAGATGACTTTGAGGGCTTCGATATTGAAAGAGGAGAAGTGGGCTGGAAGGGAAAGAGGGAGGATAAGGTCATCCACAGGTTGTAAGACAAAAGGAGCACGTAGGGGAATAGTCAATTACATGATGTATCGTGCTTAGTAAATCGGCACTTTACATAGATAAGGTGAACATAGAGTACTGACTGGGGGGATATTTAACCTTGTATCTGTAGCTCTCTGCTTAGGAACTAACAGAAAGGCAGCTTCTTGCATGACTCAGCTTCCAGCTTATTTTTTTTCTTTCGGCGTAGTGAATTGGGGTCCCAAGTTTTTATTTTCCCTTCACAATAGACATGTACGTATAGGAAAAACATAGTATAGATATATATAGGGCTTGGTACTATCCTCAGTTTCTGCACCCACTGGGGTCTTGGCACATATGTCCCTTGGTTGGGGGGGACTACTGTATCTCAATAAAAATTCCAATTAAAAACAAACAAACAGATGGAAGTATGAATTTGGCCACAGCCCACAGTTTGTCAATCTCTGATTTAAGGCCATAATGGTGAAGCAGAGACCTTCTGTTCTTCCCTTCCGTTTTAATAACAGACCTCCCGTATATATTAGGTAGGCACATTGATGTCTCGCCAAAAGACTACATTTCCCAGCAGTCTATGCAGCTAGGCGAGGCCACATGACTAAGTTCTGACATATGAAGTCTACATGAAAGTGTTAAATGGTAATTCTGGGAATGTAAAAGTGTGACAGGCATTCAAGCAGCCATCTCAGATCACGAGACAGTGTGGAATGCTGGTGGAAGAACAAAATCGAAGGACCCTGTTACCCTGATGTCTATGTAGCTACAACACCTTCCTCACTCTTTGTATATATGAGAGGGAACTACATCCTATCTCATTTAAGCCACTGAGGTTTTGGGGTAGGAGGCAAGACTAAAGTCCAGAGGCAGGGCTCGGACACTGGACCAAACTGAGGACTAGCCAACACAGGGATGGGGTAGAAGCCGCTTTCCATAAGAAACACCACCACAGTGCCATGTCAGTTACCATTGCCATGGCAACACCCGGGAGTTACTGCCCCTTTCCATGGCAATGACCCAAAGACTCAAAAGCTGTCACCCTTTTCTTAGAAATTACTGCATAAACTGCCCCTTAGTCCACATGTAATTAAAAGTAGGTACAAATCTGATTGCAGAGATGCCCTGATCTGCTGCTGTCAGCACACTGCCTATGGGGTGGCCCTGCTCTGCAGGAGCAGTCATTGAGCTGTAACCCTGCCAGGGCGGTAACCCTGCTGCTTCAATAAAGCTGTTTTCTTCTACCCTACAACTAGCTCACCCTTGAATTCCTTCCTGGGTGAAGCCAAGAACCCTTGCAGGCTAAGCCCCACTTTGGGACTTGCCTGCCCTGCATCAGTTTGAGTGTTTTGGGCTATTCATAGCCTAACTATTTTTTTTTTTTTTTTTTTTTTTAGACACAGTTTAACTCGGTTGCCCAGGCTGGAGTGCAGTGGTGCGATCTGGCTCAGTGTAAACTATGCCTCCTGAGTTCAAGTGATTCATGTGCCTCAGTCTCCCGAGTAGCTGGGATTATAGGCACACACCACCACACCTGGCTAATTTTTGTATGGTAGAGACAGGGTTTCACCATGTTGGCAAGGCTGGTCTTGAACTCCTGAGCTCAAGTGATCTCAGCCTCCCAAAGTGCTGGGTTACAGGCATGAGCCACTGTGCCCAGCTGGCCTAACTAATTCTAACTAACTAGATTTTTTTGTCCTCCAGATATCAGATCCTCAATGCAAAAGTAGAGAGAAGGAAAAGGAAAAGATTTCCTGGTGTAGGTCTCTTGTCCAGGGGAAAAACCTGTCTTAGAAGCCCCCCAGCAGATTTTTCTTAATCTCATTGACCAGCAATAGGTCACATGCTCATCTCCAGACCAATGGCTAATTTTTGCCGTTACTTTTAATGGTAAAAACCGCAATTACTTTTGCACCAACCTAATACATATGGTATATTCACGTCCTAGGCTGCTGTAACAAATTACCAACAACTGGGTGGCTTAAAACAACAGAAACAATATCTTCTCTCATGGTTCTTGAGACTAGAAGCCTGAAGTCAAGATGTCAGTAGGGCCATGCTCCCTCCAAAGGCCCTAGGGAACAATTCTTCTTTGCCTTTTTTAGCTCCTGGTGGTAGCTGGCAATCCTTGCTGTTCCTTGGCTTGAGCAGTGCAACTCCAATCTGCCCCATCTTCACATAGCTGTCCTCCCTCTGTGTATATCTGTGTCCAAATTCCCCTCTTCTTATAAGGACACTAGTCACTGCTTAAGATCCATCCTAATCCAGTGTGACCTCATGTTAACTTGCTCACACCTGCAAAGACCCGATTTCCAAATAAGGTCACACCCACACGTTGCAGGTGGAGAAGAACTTTTGGAGGAGACACTATTTGATCTAGTACACCTGACAATTACATTACCTTTTGCCAATCATTGGTCTGGAAGTGAGCATGAGATTTACTGCTGGTCGATGAGATTAAGAAAAATCTGCTGGGGGGCTTCTAAGAAAGGTTTTTTTTCCCCTGAACAAGAGACCTGCACAAGGAGTTCTTTTTCTTTTCCTTCTCTCTCCTTTTGCATCAAGGATGTGATAGCTGGAGCTGTGGCAGCCATCTTGCTGCCATGAGGCAATAAGCCTGAAGACTAAAACCAACATACTAAGGGTGACGGAGTGGAAGCACAGGCACAGCCTGATCTTTGATGAGATATTTGCACCATAAACCCAACCTTGAAAGGCCATGCCTTCCCCTGGAGCAGGGATCAGCACACTTTTTCTGTAAAGGGCCAGATAGTAAATAGTTTAGGCTTTGCAGGCCATATAGTCTCTATTGAAACTATTCAACTCCACTGTTGTAGCAGAAAAGCATCCATTATATAAATGAATAAGCATGACTGTGTTTCAATACAACCATTACAACTGGGTGCAGTGGCTCATGTCTGTAATCCCAACACTTTGGGAGGTTGAGGTGGGAGGATCGCTTGAGCCCAGAAGTTTGAGACCAGCTTGGGCAACATAGAAAGACCCCATGTCTACAAAAAATAAAAATCAATTAGTCAGGTGTTGTGGTGCATGTCTGTGGTCCCAGCTACTCAGAAGGTCAAGGTGGGAGGATTGTTTGAACCCAGGAGGTTGAGGCTGCAGTGAACCATGATTGCACCACTACACTCCAGCCTGAGTGACAGAGCGAGACCCCATCAATCGATCAATAATCGATCTATCTATTACAAAAGCGGGCAGCAGACCAGATTGGCCCATAGGCTATAGTTTGCCAACCCCTGTTCTGGACTTACCAAATAAACAATAAAAATTCTTATAATTTAAGGCTCTACCAGTTGAATTTCCTGTTACTTTTGCCCAATGCATACTAGCTAATATATCTGGGGCATGGTTTCTCACACTCAGCACTATTTTTTTTTTTTTAGATGGCGTTTCACTTTTGTTGCCCAGGCTGGAGTGCAATGGTGCAATCTCAACTCACAGCAACGTCTGCCTCCTGGGTTCAAGCGATTCTCCTGCCTCAGCCTCCCGAGTAGCTGGGATTACAGGCATGCACCACCACGCCTGGCTAATTTTGTATTTTTAGTATAAACGGGGTTTCTCCATGTTGGTCAGGCTGGTCTTGAACTCCTGACCTCAGGTGATCCACCCGCCTCGGCCTCCCAAAGTGTTGGGATTACAGGCGTGAGCCACCGCACCGGACCTCACAGTCAGCACTATTGACATTGTCAATGTAAATAACAGAGAGAGGCTCTCTCCAGAAGAAAAGACGTTTTCTGGGAGCAACGCATTGTAATGAAAATATGCACGGCATAGTAAACTATGTGTGCATGCAGAGAGGTAAAAGAAGACAAGGGTTCTTCAAGGAAAAAAACATGAGGAGGATTACATAATTGCTTAGAAATAATTATCCTTGGCTACAAAGATCAATAACAAAAGTGACACCAGTCCAAAGTTGCACAGGCAGTTGCTGGGCAGACGTCCCTGCAGGAGTATTTTTTTGTGTAAGGTTGTGATGGTCTTACACAAAAGGGCTTGTGCAAGGCTGTGGTTTTTGCAGGCTTCTATGATCATTTTTGTTATCAGGCATACAAGCACGAGAACCTTCTCTGCATGGCCTTTCCTGGCTCTATCTGTCAAGGTTTTCTTTTCTTAACTTTTATTTTAGGTTCAGGGGTCCATGTGCAGTTTTGTTATACAGGTAAACTCGTGTCACGGGGGTTTGTTGTACAGACTATTTCATCACCCAGGTGCAAAGCCTAGTACCTAATAGTTATTTTTTCGGATCCTCTCCCTCCTCCCAACCTCCACCCTCAAGTAGCCCTGTAAGGGTTTTCTTTTCTTTTCTTTTTTTTTTTTTTTTTTGAGACAGAATCTCACTTTGTCACCCAGGCTGGAGTGCCGTGGTACAACCTTGGCTCACTGCAACCTCCGCCTCCCGGGTTGAAGCGATTCTCCTGTCTCAGCCTCCCCAGTAGCTGGGATTACAGGTGTGCACCACCACGTCCTGCTAATTTTTGTGTTTTTAGTAGAGATGGAGTTCACCATGTTGGCAAGACTGGTCTTGAACTCCTGACCTCAAGTGATCCATCCGCCTTGGCCTCTCAAAGTGCTGGGATTACAGGCATGAGCCACCGCACCTGGCCCTGTCAGGGTTTTCTTAACATTAGCAACTGCATTTTGATTCTGACAACTGTCACAACATTTTGGGCCAGGTAACTTTTGGTGGCCTGTGCCCTGTAAGATTTTAGCAGCATCCCCGGCTTCTACCCACTAGATGTCAATAACATCCCTCAGTTTTGACCATCAGAAATCTCTCTAGATATTGTCAAATGTCTCCTGAGGAGCAAAGTTGTCCTCCGTCGGGAACCGCTGATCTAGAGTAAAGAGCTGGAAGTGGAATCACCAGGTCATAGGGCATGTGCGTTTTCAGTTTTTCCAGCTCTGCCAAAATGTTCTTCAGCATTTATCCTCATTTACACTTTCATCAGCATAATTTCAAGTCTAGTGATTCATGTGTTTAAACTGAGCTCAGTTGCCTTCAATAAAGTGATTATTGCCTGAGCAAAGGACAATATGACTGGATTTTCACAGCAGAGGTGCAGGTTTAATCAGCCCTATCTCTTGTGACTCCGGTAATCAAGGAATTAGGTTTTATTTAAGTGAGGTTTACCCTTTACACTTAAAGTATTGATGAGACTATAATTATGGGCTGGTTAATTTTTTTCTCCCCTGCTGTGGACGTTCATGTGCTCTTCTCCATTTGCTTACAACAACAAGATCCTCAGGGGAGAGGTATCAAATGAATTACAAGGACGTCCCTGGAGAAGGGGTTGCCCCATTTTTTTTTCAGGTATGGGAGGGTCAAATAGGGTAAATGTGAGAAATTAGCGCTGTCCTGATCTGGGTCTATTGGATGGAGGGAAACTCTCCTGGGAATAGCCATGATGTAATTGAATAAGGTACTCACTGAAATCTGAATCCTCTTGTATTCCCAGTGGGCTTGGGTCAGGGTCCCTGTTCCAGTTCTCAAGTGGCTGCTTAGTAATCCTGAGATATCAACAAAGACCATAACTAATATTTACTGAGTGCCAACTACTTTGCCAAACACTTGACAGACATTCTCTCTTTTTAATCCTCCTCACAACACAATGAGGAAGGTACTAGGATTATTAGTCCCATTTTGCAGATGGGAAAGTGGAGGCTCAGAGAGGTGGAAAATATGCCCCAGGTACCCAACTATCGCATAGTGGGACTAGGGTTCAAACCCAGGTCTCTCTGGCTCCAAGTGTCAAACTCTGCTATATCTCTGATTTCAATTCAAGAACTCTGTTGTTCACCAAGCAGGCTCCTGGCATTGAATCTGGCCCTGGCTTTAATACATGGCTTCAGGAAACACAGCTGTTTGGAGGAGTCAACAGCTGTTCATTCATTTACCACTCCACCAAGCCACACAAATTAAAACACCATAAGGTAAGGCTCACTCGGTCTCAAACACCAGGATAGGTAATTATTGTTTTAATTAAAGAAAGGAAATACCCAACCCCTTCCTGTTCAATACACTTGAGTACTGATTTCTGTAGGAGTTAAGAGAATAATTTAGGGAAAGAATCCACACACATGCACGCACACACACACTTGATCATAACGATTGTACATATATCACTGCATATGTTTGAAAGAGAGAAAGACAGGTAAGGAGTGGTGGCTCACGCCTGTAATTCCAGCACTTTGGGAGACCGAGGCAGGTGGATCACTTGAGTTTGAGACCAGCCTGAGCAACATGGTGAAACCCCGTCTCTACTAAAATAGCTGGGCATGGCGGAGCACACCTGTAATTCCAGCTACTCGGGCGGCTGAGGCAGGAGGATCACTTGAACCTGGGAGGCAGAGGTTGCAGGGAGCTGAGATCACGCCAGTGCACTGGAGCCTGGACAACAGAGTGAGACTCCATCTCAAAAAAAAAAAAAAAAAAAAAAGGAAGCGAGAGACAAATCAGGATGCTTACTATTTGTTCATTCATTCATTGAGTCTTTACTTCTTTTTTTTTAATTTTTTTTTTTTTTGAGACAGAGTCTTACTCTATTCCCCAGGCTGGAGCGAAGTGGTGCAATCTCAGCTCACTGCAACCTCAGCCTCCCAGGTTCAAGCAATCCTCGTGCCTCAGCCTCCTGAGTAGCTGGGAGTACAGGCGCGTACCACCACACTCGGCTAATTTTTTGTATTTTTAGTAGAGATAGGGTTTTGCCATGTTGCCCAGGCTGGTCTCGAACTCCTGAGCTCAGGCAATCTGCCCACCTCAGCCTCCCAAAGTGCTAGGATTACAGGTGTAAGCCACTGAGTCCGGCCTGAGTCTATATTTCAAAAAAAGTTTGAGTGCCTGCTGTGTGCCTGGTTTTAAGCCGGGAGACCACAGGAAACATTCATGGACTAGAAAGCCTTTCCCATTTCTTTACTTCATGAGAAAGAGGTTGCATTTTTTGCAACTGGTAGAAAAGTTTTCCCTGTATGATGAACTGGAGTTCCACAAACTGTTTTCCAAAATAATCTCCTAAAACTCTTCCTCCCTTAAAGATCTCCAACAGGACACCAATGAGGAAGAAGAGGAACAGGCAGGGGCCGGGTACTGTGGCTCACGCCTGTAATCCCAGCACTTTGGAAGGCTGAGGCGGGTAGATCACAAGGTCAGGAGTTCGAGACTAGCCTGGTCAAGATGGTGAAACCCCGTGTCTACTAAAAATACAAAAATTAGCCAGGTGCAGTGGTGGGCACCTGTAATCCCAGATACTTGGGAGGCTGAGGAAGGAGAATCGCTTGAACATGGGAGGCTGAGGTTGCAGTGACCTGAGATTGCATCACTGCTTTCCAGCCTGGGAGACAGAGCAAGACTCCGTCTCAAAAAAAAAAAAAGAAAAAAAAAAGAGGAACAGGCAAACAGTCCTAGAACCCATCCTTCCCAAGAACACAGAAAAATGTCCTCACATGTGCCCCACAGTAAAAGCAGCCAGAGTCTGGTGAAATATCTGCTTCTAGCTTCCTGTTTAGGATGTTGTTCCTCTCTATATTTGTTTGCTAGGGGTGCCATAGCAACATGCCACAGTCTCAGGGGCTTAAACAACAAAAATTTATTTTCTCACAGTTCTAGAGGCTGGAAGTTCAAGTTCAATGAGTTGACAGGGTTGGTTCCTTTTTTTTTTTTTTTTTTTGAGACTGGGCCTCACTCCTCATTCTGTCACCCAGGATGGAACACAATGGCATGATCTCGGCTCACTGCAGCCTTGATTTCCTGGGCTCAAGCAATCCTTCCACCTCAGCCGCCTGAGTAGCTGGGAACCACAGGAGCACACCACCATGCCAGCTATTTTTTTTTTTTTGTAGAGACAGGGTTTCACCATGTTGCCCAGGCTAGTCTTGAACTCCTGTGCTCAAGCAATCTACCCGCCTGGGTCTCCCAAAGTGCTGGGATTACAGGTGTGAGCCACCAGGCCCGGGCAGGGTTAGTTCCTTCTGAGGGCTGTGAAGGAAAGACCTGTTCTAGGTTCTCTCCTTGGCTGGTAGATGCCTTCTTCCTCTGTCTTCACATGGTCTTCCTTCTGTGTGTCTGTGTCTGTGTCCTAATTTCCTCTTCTTATGAGGACACCAGTCATAATGGATTCAGGTCCATCCTAATGACCTCATTTTAACTTAATTACTTAAAGATGCTATCTCCAAATATAGCCACATTTTGAAGTTCCAGGGGTTATCAATTTGGGGTGGAGCGGTGGCAGGGGGGACAGAATTCATCCCACTACAGCCTCCCTCCCTCTTCCCAAGTCCCCAGTAACCATTTGTCACCCTAATTCTAAAGGGCTCAAACTCTGGGGCGTGGCAGGTGTGTGACTTTGGATGAGTTACTTAACCCCTCTGCCTTGGTTTATGCATACATAACGTTGGGCTAACAATAGTATCTGTCTCATAGGGTTATTAGGGGAATTAAAGGAGTTATGTGTCTAGAGAACTTAGAACAGCACCTGGCACAGAGCGAGCACTATATAAGTGCTTATTAAGTTAAACATTGAAATCGACAACTCATTTTTACTAAACTGTTAGGAGAAGCTTGGCACGGTGGTGCACGCCTCTAGTTCTAGCCACTCGAGAGGCTGCGGTGGGAGGATTACTTGAGCCCAGGAGTTCAAGACCAGCCTAGGCAACATAGCAAGACCCAAAAAAATCTCTAAAAGTTTTTTTAAAATTAGCCAGGTGTGGTGGTGTGTGTCTGTGGTCCCAGCTACTCCAGAGCTGAGGTGGGAGGATTGCTTGAGCCCAGGAGCTGGAGGTTGCAGTGAGTTATGATCTCATCACTGCACTCCAACCTGGGCCACAGAGAGAAACACCATTTAAAAAAAAAATTTTTTTTAATAAAAATTAAGACAATTTAAAAAGTGCTAGGAGACATGTTACCCTCCCAAAGAATTTGCTTTCTTTGAGCAATGCTTAATATCAGCAATGGAATCACCAATTCACAATAGGGGAACTATATATATTTGAGGGTGTGGATCCCCAACATTCTTCAAAGTACACTATTTGACAACTACATGATCCACTCTAAAATATTAACAGTAGTCAACATTTATTAAATGCTAGTGATGGGACCGGGCATGGTGGCTCATGCCTGTAATCCCAGCACTTTGGGAAGCCAAGGCAGGAGGATCACTGAAGGTTAGGAGTTCGAGACGAGCGTGGCCGACATGGCAAAACCCCATTTCTACTAAAAATACAAAAATAAGCTGGGCGTGGTGGCGGGTGTCTGTACTCCCAGCTACTGGGGAGGCCAAGGCGGGAGAATCGCTTGAACCTGGAGGTGGAGGTTGCTGTGAGCCAAGATCGTGCCACTGCACTCCAGCCTGGTGACAGAGCAAGACTCTGTCTAAAAAACAAACAAACAAACAAACAAAAAACAAAAAACCTAATGATGGGCCAGGAGGCACTGTGCTAAGTAAGGGCTTTCCTGGTATTTAGGCTGGGAGGTGGGTACTATTATTATTCCCACTTTACAGTTGAGAGAATGGAGGCTCCAAAAAGCCACCTCTCAAGGCCATGCTCCCCAGTTAGTAAGTGGTCCAATAGCACAGGATAACTCATGTGTGCAAATTAAGGACTGCCAGACTTAAGAGTGTCAGGGAGAGAGAGGTCCTTCCTTCTCTCCCACTTTTTCATCACCCCCTTCTCTTCCCCCTCTGCTGAACGTTGCATCCCCACGGCCAAGATTGCACCCCCTCTTCTACAGACAACATCCAAGCTGCTGGGACCCGACCCAGCGCCACCTTGCGAGCCCAGCATTTCGAGGGGCAGGCTTCCAAACAGGGTAATAATCGTCCCATTAAAATTAATGTCCATGAAGTGAGCCGTTAAAAGCGTGCAGATTAAAAATGGGGGGAGGGAATTGTTCAATTTAAATCCAAAGGGCTTTTTAAATAGACACTGTGTCTTCATTCTTGGAACGCTACACCCGGGCAATGGATCAGGTCCCCTCTGTAAAGACTAGGGGGATTAAGGAGGTGAGTCCCAGGAGAATGGGAAGTGGTTCTGGCGAGAAGCAAAGGGAACCAAGGTCTATCCAGGGCCCACTGCGTGCCAGGTGCTTGGCACACATTTCTCTCATTTAATCTCTGCCCCAATCCTGGGATGGAGGTATTATTATTCCCAGATTACAGGGGGCAGTATAAAACCGTGGTTAAGAGCTTAGAGCCTGCGGCATACTGCCCTAGTTCAGATGACGGTTTCATTCTTAGCTACTCTGTGAGCTAGGGCAAGAACCCTTACCTACCTGTGCCTCAGCTTCCTCATCTTTGAAATATTATAGTAATTGCATGTAGAATTGTTGGGAGATTTACCTTTAGGCAGCAGAGGCAAGGGCGCCCAAAGCCCACAGGTGCCAGACATAGAAGATGCGCAGTAGGTCTTGGCCATTATGAAGCCTAGAATAATTGGAGCTGGGTGAGGGAAAAGGCCACCAGAATCACACAGTGTTGTGGGCTTTGAGCCCTGACTTTGTTGTCATTTCACCACGCTGTGGGCCAAAAGGGACATTTCTCCTCCTGATCAATTCAGACCAAAACTAAGTTCACAGACTCGAAGAATCTTGGTTATACTCTGCGGTGGGAAGGCAAGAACGGAAGCTCCCTCAGCAGGTTCCAGACTCCCAACTTGGAGCCATCTCTGGACTCATCCCGATGGTCTGAATCCCAAAGTTGTCTGAATCCCAGTCGATTTAAGATCACAGGTTTCATTCTCCCCCACAGAATCCTGACAGCCGCCCAGCCCATCTGAACCTTCACCGTTTGTGACAACTGCAGACGCTCCAGTCTGGAGGTGCACAGGAGTGGCTGTCGGATTGGAAAAGGGGGAATTAAAGTCCCCCGCGCCCCTCCTCTCGCCGACCCCTTAGGGTCTCCACTGCGCATTAAATCGGGGTCATCGCAGAAAACTGTAACGCCATCAGGAAAATAATGTTCACAAAGAAAGCAGACAAGAAGTTTCCCTTTAGAAAGCCCCTTGCGAGGGTCTTTTGGGTGCGGGTGCCGGGCAGCGAGAATGCCTCCGTCCGCGCCCCACGCGAGCTCAGGTGGGCCCATCCAGCCTCCCACCGGGCGCTGGGGGCACTTTAGGGTCAGGTTTCTAGCCAGGCGCTGGGGGCACGTTAGGGTCAGGCTGAAAGCCTACAGGTGCCAAGTCAGACCTGAAACGAGGCAAGTTGGGTGTAATCTGACCCTTCCATAAGATTTTGAATCCACCCACCTCCCCCAAACAAAACAACAGCCTCGGAATATTTTTGAATAATGCAGCCGAATTCAGCATCAGCTTCATCCAAAACGGCAAACAAGCCTTTTTCCCTCGCCAAATCGGAACTCGAGCTGAATTCAGGAAAAGGGGAAGGAGAACAACCTTCCCTCGCGCTCCGCGCCTCCGCGGGGGTCCCCCGAGACCCCCAAAGCCCAGGACCTCCGCTGCGGGGAGCCTTCTCGCGCCGCCCCGCGCCGCGCTCCCCGTCTCCCAAACCTCGCGCTCCCTAGCTGCCGGCGCCGCTAGGGTTAAAAGTTACCTCTCGGTTTCTTCTGCCTGCAGCCCCCCCCCCAACCCCCGGGGGCCGGATGATGTAACCCCCCTCCCCGCCCCCCTCCACCATGTGACACTTTAATTAATAATAGCGCCGTCAGCACAACAAACGCACAACACAAGGAGAAACTTGGTGTCCAGGGGAGGCCCCCGGCGGCTGGAGCGCGGCGGCAGCGGGCGCAGAGGCCGGAGGGAGAGGAGGCGAGGGGCGGCCCGAGCGCGGGGCGGGAGCGAGGCCAGCGGTCATGTGCCCGTGCCCCCTGCACCGCGGCCGCGGCCCCCCGGCCGTGTGCGCCTGCAGCGCGGGTCGCCTGGGGCTGCGCTCGTCCGCCGCGCAGCTCACCGCCGCCCGGCTCAAGGCGCTAGGCGACGAGCTGCACCAGCGCACCATGTGGCGGCGCCGCGCGCGGAGCCGGAGGGCGCCGGCGCCCGGCGCGCTCCCCACCTACTGGCCTTGGCTGTGCGCGGCCGCGCAGGTGGCGGCGCTGGCGGCCTGGCTGCTCGGCAGGCGGAACTTGTAGGAACGCGGGGCTTCTTGGTGGGGCCGGAGCCGAGACCCAGCCGGAGCGAGCAACAGGTACGCGAGCGAGCGAGCGAGAGCCGGGGCGCGGCAGCTGGGCACTGGAGACGCTGGGCTGGCCCGGGAGCGGGAGAGTGGCAAGTTTGGCTTTCTTCTTTTCCCTTCTCCTTCTTCCTCCGTTCTCTTCTCTTGCAAGCATCTCCACCTCTCCTCTTCTACCCAGTCCCCAGTCTTCCCTTCCAAGTGTAAGGTCCACCGTTTCTGCCCCCATCTCTGCGAGTCCTTAAGCGCATCTTGCTACTCACTTATAGCTCAGTGGCTTGCGGAGGACTTCAGCCTCCATAATCCCCACCAGCCCCACAAATAAACACACAATGCAAGTAAAAAGTGTGCTTGCTATGGGAATGTAGTTGTAAGCCACGCCAAATACTTAAAATCTATCGCACTTCCAAGAAAGGTCCCCGGTCCCGTTCCAATCCTCTTGCCGTTCCTGAGTCGCCCCCGTCTCCATCACCTTTGCTCCCAACCTCTTGTCCCTAAGTGTCACTTCTCCAATCTCTGATCCCCATTATCTGGCACCCCAAGCGCATCTCGAGACTTCCTCCCCCTCCAGGTTTCTGGCTGGCCCAATCTTTCTTCCCAAGCTCCGCGCATTTGCAATTTTCCTCTGCCCTGCCAACTTCGCTCCTTCTCGAGTGAGGTGTCCTGTTTAAGGAGTTTGGCTTCCTTCTCCCCAGACGGTTGTAGCTGCTACGGGAAGGAGACGCCCTCGGAGTGGGCTGGAATAGGGGGCTTTCAGGGAAACTCCAATGGGAAGCCTTAAGGAAGGAACATTTATTGAGCTCCTTCGGGGTGCTGGGCACTGTTTAGGGAGGTCATGTGTTGAGAACTTAGGACAGGAAGTGGGTACTGAGCACCTAGTGTGGTTGGTATCAGTGGGAGGAAGGTACTAGGCTCTTGGGGTGGGGGGATCATTGTGCCCTAGCTGTGCGCCTGGCACTGTGCTAGGCGCTTTGAGGAAGCACACAGCGTAAGCATCGTCTTACTACTCTGGATCCTGGAGTAGCGAGGAGCGCTGCAGAGAATGAGGGAGAGAGAATCAGGCTGAGCCCACCATAGATGGGTCTAGGGCCGGAAGGTGAAGCTCGAAGGTGACATAGCCAGCCGCCCTTAGGTCCCCGCCCCCGAGCCCCGCCGCGCGCCGCAGACACCCTGGGAAGTTGGAGCGGCGCCTGAAGGCGAGGCCCGAGCGTCTGCGCCCGCGGGGAAAGGCGGCAGCCGGAGCGTGGGGGGTGGCAGCGCCCAGGGAGCTGCGGGGGTGCGCGGGGTGTGAGCCGGGACCGCAGGCGACAGATGTCGCGTGGGCCCGCGCAGCCCGGGCGCTGGCGAAGAGAAATGCGCGCTTCGGGGCGCTCTCTGCCCGGCTCCCGGGCGCCGGGGGTCCCATCCACTTCTCCCTACCTTCTCTCTCTCCTGTTGGAGAGGCCAGGGGCTCCCGCGACTGAAAGGGGCCAGGCTGAGGCTGCCCAATCCCAGGGACAGGAAGAACATTTTGGATGGATCGCGGGGTGCAGAAAAAGGAAGTTGAGCGACAGACGCGAAGCCCAAAGCGTGGAATTTGGGAAGAGGCAGAAAAAAAGTGGGCGAAGAGGAAGAGAAAAAACAAGCGACGAGATGGGGAGGGACAAGAAGTTTGGGGAGGATAGAGAAAAAGAGAAACTGCCTGGAAAACAAGTTGCAAGACAATTGAAAAGTGAATGAGAAGGAAAGAGAGGAAGGTAGTAAAATCAAATAGAACTGTGGAGAGAGGGCTGGGACACGGCTTTCTCTGGTTCTGTCGTCCAGGAGATTGGAAACGCTCTCCCCTTCCGGCACCAGGCGTGCGGGATGTCGGGTGCCCCTCCCGGGAGGCCGAGGACTCCGGGCCGGAGCCTGACTGTGTGTTCCTGTTTGCCGGTGTGTGAGTGTCGGGGTGGGAATGCTCCCGGGGCCTGGAAGGGGAGGCTGCGGGCGGGGCGGGCAGATTGCGCCGCTCTGCGCCGGAGCGCAGGGGAGGAGTTGGGTAACTGGGGCCTGCGCTGCAGGGGAGGGCGGCGGCCAGGAGTTTCGCTGTTTTGAGTCGGTGTTGGGGGGCAGCAGCAGGTTATTGTCTCTGTGGAGTTTATTTCCCCCGCCCCGCCCTCGCCTTCTACCCCAGAGTTACTTCCGTGCTGCGCCCTGACTCGGAGACACCCTCTTCCCACACCTCTGGGTTCTTCTCCTACCTGCCTTGTCCCGCCCGGGCGTCCCCTGCAGCCACACCCTCCAGGGTTCTGCAGCCTCTGGCGCCCTGACCTCAGGATGCCCCGCTCGGCTTCCCAGCAGCACCGCCCCTCATACCCTCGGGACACCCGTAGAATTGCTCACCACCCGCCTTCCTGCGCTCCCAGGCCGGGTTCTCAGTGCTCGGGCTCCCTGCACTGGCCCTGATCAAGTTCTCTCCCTGCAGCCTACATCTGACCTCAGAATACCAGCCGCTCCGGCCTTTCTTGTGCTTTTGATTTAATTTGGGGAAACTCATTTTTTCCCAGCTCTGGTAAGTTAAGTAAAGGGGAAAGAAAAATCACCGGAGGAAGACAGTCTGTTGCGTTCTATGCTGGATATGGGGTGCTCTCCACCTTCCCTACCCTAAAAGAAAAAGGGGAATGTTCACAGCTGTACCTTAGGTGTTTGAGGGAGGCCTGTGCCAGCCATATAGGGTGGGAACTACCACTTTCAATTCCCATAGGTTTAAAGGGTGTGCTCCGCTATATGCAGAATCAATATTTTCAACATACAGGCCAGGCAGGTTGGCTCACGCCTGTAATTCCAGCACTTTGGGAGGCCAAGGCAGGTGGATCACCTGAGGTCAGGAGTTTGAGACCAGCATGGCCAACATGGTGAAACCCCATCTCTACTAAAAATACAAAAATTAGCTGAGCGTGGTGGTGCACACCTGTAATCCCAGCTACTCGGGAGGCTGAGGCAGGAGAATCGCTTGAACCTGGGAGGCGGAGGTTACAGTCAGCCAAGAAGAGCTGAGATCACACCACTGCACTCCAGCCTGGGCGACAGAGCGAGACTCCATCTCAATAATAATTTAAAACATATATGTGTATATACACATACATATATCCAGCATACTTGTTTTGAGTCTCTACTGCGAACCAGCAATACTTTTCTCAGAAGTCATCCTTTAAAAAAATAACAAACAGAAACAAAAACCCAAGACTAAGTTTTCCCATATGTAAAATGGGGGCAAAAAATGGGGGCCCACCAGCCAGACTTAGTGCATAGGCACGTTATTAAGGGGGTTAAATGAATTCATACACGGAAAGCTCTAGAACAGTGGATATACATGTGAGCCATCATGATTATTATTGTGCATTTACTATCATTCTTTCCCAAGGTAGTCAACATTTTACCATTATTATTGCTGGCCATTCCACACCACTCCTACCTGCCCTCCCGGGAAGTCAGTGCCAGAAGGGTCAGGAGAGAATAATGGTTAAGAGACTCTTAAGTGTCCAGCCATTTGCTGACAGCGTGACCTTGAGAAAGAACCATTACCTCTGCACCTTTATCTGTAAACTGGAGCTGTATCCTTCCAGGGTTATTGGGAGAATGATAAGAGAACATTCATTTAAAGTGTCCAGTGCAGGCCGGGCCAGTGGTTCAGTCCTGTAATCCCAGTTCTTTGGGAGGCCAAGGTGGGCGGATCACTTGAGCCCAGGAGTTCAAGACCAGCCTGGGCAACATGGTGAAACCTTGTCTGTACCAAAAAAAAAAAAAAAAAATTAGCTGGGCATGGTGGTGTGCACCTGTAGTCTCAGGTACTCAGGAGGCTGAGGTGGGAGGATCACTTGAGTCCCAGAGGCAGAGGTTGCAGTAAGCTGAGATCGCACTATTGCACTCCAGCCTAGGCGACAAAGTGAGACTCTTGTCTCAAAAAAGTCCAGTGCAGTGTCTGTCTCTTAACTTCACTCAACAGAGGATGTCATGAAATGGTCAGTGTCATTCCTTTTAATTCAAAGGGGAAGCCGAGGCAGAGAGCATCCACCTAAGTGATCCCCAGTGGAACTGCAGCTTCTGTCTTTGAGGGCACACAGCGCCCCCCACCCCATGACTTGCGGGGGAAGAGGAGATAGGGGCAGTAAGCAGACCGGGTTGGTGCACAGTGAATTCCTGTACAAGTGAAATTCCCTTTCTTCCAGAGCCCCAGGGGAGGCTCCTCTGAGGCTGGGGAGGCCTGGAGGAGGATGGGTATGATTTAACCAGTCAATACTCAAAGATACAGGAGAGAGGGAACAAAAGACGCTTTATGGTGAGTGCTGGCTGGCGGAGGCGTGGGAGGGAGGGAGGGAGAAGCGTGCCTGGGGAGGGGGCAGGGAGGGAGAGAGAATGGAGCCGAGGAATCTGCCTGGGAGTCGGGGCCAGGGCTGGGTAGAATCCTGCCTTGGGAGCAGGGGAAGGGGAGAGAGGGGGACTCCGCAGGCCCATAAGGCGACGTGGTCAGTGGCAAGGAAGATAATGGGCCAGCGGGAGCCTGCTTTAATGAATTAATGACAGCCTGGCCCACCAGCCAGACATGCTAACTGGTTCTTGGCAGGTACTTTGGGGATTAAGTGGTTAAACCTGGAGGCGCATCCCGCAGGCCTCCCTCCCAGCTCGCAGCACCCCTGCCAGAATTACTTTTAGAGCTTGAAAGCTTGGCCTTCTGTTTGGCGAGGGAGCCCGAGGAGGACAGCTGTTGGGGAGGAACCCCCCGGGAAGGGGCCAGATGTGCAGAACCAGGCAGCCTTCCTGCCACATGGTCTCTGTCTGGAGTCATCCGCTCGCATAGTGAGAGGCCAGAGTACAAGTGACTGAGCTGTGGATGGAAAAGAGCCACACCCGGGGATAATTAAATATACCCCCAGATGTGGGCTGGCTGGATTTGGCAATCATAACTCTAGAGTTTTTGAAAAGTCAGCCTTTTAGACAGGCAGATAACGAGAGGTGGGGAGGGGGCTTCCGTTTCTTGGTAGTCCTCACTAGTGTCCCTGTGATAGGATTTCACGGGAATAGAAAGCTAACCCACAGTGTCCCTAGTCCCTGGCAACTTGCTTGTCTCATAGTAGGTGTACAATAACTATGTGCTGTGTTAAATGAATCAGAAACTATGCAACATCAGCCGGGTATGCTGGCTCACACCTGTAATCCCAGCATTTTGAGAGGCTGAGGCGGGTGGATCACTTGAGGTCAGGAGTTCGAGACCTGCCTGGCCAATGTGGTGAAACCCCATCTCCACTAAAAATACAAAAATTAGCCAGGCATGATGGTGTGTGCCTGTAGTCCCAGCTACTTGGGAGGCTGAGGCAGGAGAATTGCATGAACCCAGGAGGCGGAGGTTGCAGTGAGCCGAGATCGCGCCACTGTACTCTAGCCTGGGCGACAGAATGAGTGAGACTCTGTTACAAAAAAATAAAAAATAAAAAAAGAAACTATGCAACATAGTCACTATTGTTTCCCAAATTCAGGTTCTTCCACTTATACAACTGCTAATTATTGAGTACCTTCTGTGTATAGGGCACTGTGGATACAGGAAGGACCAAGACATAAGAGTTCCCTGCTTTCATGGAGCCCACATTTTAGTGGGAAGAGACAGACAATAAGTAAATATTGTTCTTGTTACTACTTCTGTGTAACAAATTACTCCAAAACTACTAAGTTTTGCTTCAAACAACTAGAGCCATCCCTCTGTCTCTGGGCGGGAGTGGTTCCAGGATCCCACTTTGGATCCCAAAATCCAAGGATGCCAAGTCCTTGATATAAAATGGTGTAGTGTTTGCATATAACCCACACACTGTAGGCTTTAAATCATCTTTAGATTACTTATAATACCCAATACAATGTAAGTGCTATGTAACTAATTATACTGTATTGTTTTTATGTGTGTTTTTTATACTTGTGTTATTTTTAAATTTTTTTTTCCAATAGTTTTGATCTGAGGTTGGTTGAATCCATGGATGTGGAACTCACCTATATGGAAGGCTGACATATTTGACCATGCTCACACATTCTGTGGGTTAGGAATTTGGTCAGGGCATAGTGGGGGTGACTTGTCTCTGCTCCAGGATGGCTGGGGACTGGAGTCATGGGTGGGGAGGCAACCTTATTTACATGTCTGGCTGTTAATACTGGGAGTCAGCTGGGGCTGTCAATTGGAGCAGCTATACTCAGCCTCTTCGTGTGGCTTGGGCTTCCTCACAGCATGGCAGCCGGATTCTGACACAGTGACTGAGAGCTCCAAAAGCAAGTACCCCAGGGAACTAGGTGGAAGCTGCTTTGCTTTTTCTGTCCCAGCTTCCAAAGTCACTTGGGTCAGAAGCAAGTCACAAGCTGATACAGATTCAAGGTGGGGCGGAATTAGACTCCACCTCATGGGGGAGTGGTGAGGTTCTAGAATAGCATGTGGAATGGGAGATATTTTAGTGGCCACCTTTGGATTATGCAATCTAACACAGAGATAATTTTAGAAACTCCTCAGGGCTTTGAAGGTAATACACAAAGGTAACACAATAGAGAGTGCCCCAGGGACTCCTCACCTGTGGTGATGAGGGAAGGCAGGACACTTTGAAGAGGAACCAGGGGAATAGTGGACTTGAATGACAGAAAGGAGCCAGCTATATGAAGACATGCGAGAAAGGTGTTTTGGGAAGAGAGAGAGCTAAGTCCAGTGGCCCGGAGGTAAGACTGCATAGTACGTTTCAGGAAAGAAAAACAAGCAGTGTAGCTTGGTGCCAGGGCTGGGTGCCCAGATGCAGGGATGCAGAGATGAATGAGTCCCAGCCACAGCCCTCAGGTGACCCCAGACTCTTTCAGAGACAGGAGACCCAGGCTTTGCCCCTGCCCTCACCTCTTAGTAGAAATAAACCAGTTCACCTCCTGCCAAGGTCTGAGAGGTCCTGATCCCTGAACCAACTCACTCATGCCCACTCCCCTCAGTGCCAGGGGAACATTGTGGACATCGATTGGGTTTCCATCACCCTTAGAACTCTCACCATTCAACTCAGCACTGGCTCCCCTCTCCTTTCCTGCTCTAAACTGGTGCCCCTGCTGTTGGGTGGGGGATTTCTGATTTAGCCCACATCAATAAGTTGCATCCTTTTACGACTTCTGGTTGGCCAGGCAAGGAGAAAGCTCCTTCCTTTTCCTGTGGGGAGGCAACTGGCTTATCCAAGATGGCTGCTTTCCACAGAGCTTTCCCACACTGAACCTTTGCTCCATGGGCCAGAGACTTGGGCAGGGTGGAATTTAATTGCTCTGGGAAACTTGATATAATATTACTTTTTTAAAAAGTAGCTGGATGTGGTGGCTCATGCCTGTAATCCCAGCACTTGGGGAGGCTGAGGTGGGAAGATTGCTTGAGCCCTGGAACTTGAGACTAACCTGGGCAATATAGTGAGACCCCATCTCTACAAAAAATAAGAAATTAGTGAGGTATGGTGGTCTGCACCTGTGTTACCAACTACTCGGGAGGCTGAGTGAGGTAGGAGGATTGCTTGAGCCCAGGAGACTGAGGCTATAGTGAGCTATAATCGTACCACTGTACTACAGGCTGGGCAAGAGAATGAGACCCTGTCTCAGAAAAATAAATAACTTTTTCTTGATGACAAAAAATATGACAAGTTCATTGGCAACTATTTGGAAAATGCTGAATAAAAGAAAATTGTAGTCAGGCGTGGTGGCATGTGCCTGTAATCCCAGCTACTGGGGAGGCTGAGGCAGGATGATTGCTTGAGCCAGGACTTTGTGGCTGCAGTGAGCTATGATTGTGCCACTGCACTCTGTCCTGGGTGACATAATGAGACTCTGTCTCAAAACAAAACAAAACAAAACAAAACAAAAAAATGAAAAAGAAAATTGTAGTCTTGCCTCTGGAGAAAGGAGGTTCAGCTTTGAGCAGAAGGTCTGAGTAGCAGAAGATTGCAGTCCTTTCCCATGTAAAGACCAGACAGATTCTAAGCCTTTCTACCTTTCCATTGCATTAGATTTGACCCTTTAGTGATGTGATTTTCTTTCCTTCTTTCTGCCATTTCTCTTTCCTTTCTTTCTTCCTTTCTCTTTTTCTCTCTTTCTTTCCCTCCCTCCCTCCCTGCCTGCCTCCCTCCCTCCCTCTCTTCCTTCCTTCCTTCCGTCCCTCCTTCTTCCTGTCTCTCTCTGTTTCTGTCTCTGTCTCTCTCTCTCTTTGTTTTTTTGAGACGGGGTCTTACTCTGTCACCCAGGCTGGAGTGCAGTAGCAGGATCGTAGCTCACTGCAGCCTTAACCTCCTGGGCTCAAGCGACTCTCCCACCTCAGCCTTCTGAGTAGCTGAGACTACAGGTGCACGCCACCACACCTGGCTAATTTTTGTATTTTTTGTAGAGACAGGGTTTTGCTATGTTGCCCAGGCTGGTCTTGAACTCCTGAGCTCAAGACCTCCTGCCTTGGTTTTCCAAAGTGTTGGGATTATAGGTGTGCACCACCATTCCTGGCTGGATAGGTACTTTAAGACTTGGAATCACTATAAATATATTATCTGTAACCTGACCTTTTCCATATATCACAGGCATTTGTTCAACAGCTTAATATTTTTCTATGAGACACTTCTTTTTGTTTGTTTGTTTTGAGATGAAGTCTCACACTGTCGCCTGAGCTGGAGTGCAATGGCGCAATCTCTCTGCAACCTCCACCTCCCAGGTTCAAGAGATTCTCCTGCCTTAGCCTCCCGAGTAGCTGGGATTACAGGTGCCTGCCACCACACCTGGCTTAATTTTTGTATTTTTAGTAGAGACAGAGTTTCACTACATTGGCCATCCTGGTCTCGAACTCCTGACCTTGTGATCCACCTGCCTTGGCCTCCCAAAGTGCTGGGATTACAGGCGTGAGCCACCATGCTTAGAAGTTGGTTGGTATTGCTTTATTTGGTTAGTCCATCATTTACATTCCCCATCCATCATTGTGAAGTCACTTGAGCCCAGGAGTTCGAAGTTGTAGTGAGCTACAATTACACCACTGTACTCCAACCTGGGCAGACAACAGAGTGAGACCCCCATCTCAAAGAAAAAAAAAAAAGAACTAATTAAAACAAATTTTTTTAATGCTCACAGGTGAGAGGATTGCTTGAAGCCAGGAGTTCAATACTAGCCAGGGCAACAAAGTGAGACCCAATCTTTACTAAAAAAAGAAAAAAGAAAAATTAGCCAAGCATGGTGGCTTGCATCTGTAGTCCTGCTACTCGGGAGGCTGAGATGGGAGGATCGCTTGAGCCCAGGGAGGTTGAGGCTGCAGTGAGCTGTGATCACGCCACTGTACTCCAACCTGGGCGACAGAGCAAGACCCTGTCTCAAAAAAAAAAAAATAATAATAATACTTTTTTTTTTTTTTTTGGCTGGGCACGGTGGCTCACACCTATAATCCCAGCACTTTGGGAGGCCGAGGTGGGTGGATCATTTGAGGTCAGGAGTTCAAGACCAGCCTGACCAACATGGTGAAACCCATCTCTACTAAAAATAGAAACAAATTAGCCTGGTGTGGTGGCACATGCCTATAGTCCCAGCTACTTGGGAGGCTGAGGCAAGAGAATCGCTTGAATCTGGGAGGTGGAGGTTGCAGTGAGCCGAGATCGTGCCACTGAACTTCAGCCTGGGTGACAGAGAGAAACTCCATCTAAAAAAAAATGTTTTTAATGCTCTCAAATGTAACTTTGATATCAAAACATATTTAGCGTTCTTTTGGCTGGGTGTGGTGGCTCACACCTGTAATCCCAGCACTTTAGGGGGCCAAGGTGGGTAGAGCTCCTGAGGTCAGGAGTTTAAGACCAGCCTGGCCAACATGGTGAAACCTCGCTTCTACTAAAACAAAACAAAACAAAACAAAACAAAACAAAACAAAACAAAAACAAAAATTAGCTGGGCGTGGTGGCGCGTGCCTGTAATCCCAGCTACCTGGGAGGCTGAGGCAAGAGAATCGCTTGAACCCAGGAGGCAGAGGTTGCAGTGAGCCGAGATCATGCCATTGCACTCCAGCTTGAGCGACAGAGCGAGACTCTGTCTCAAATACAAACAAACAAAAAACATAGTTAGCATTCTTGTATTATAAAGGCTGTCTAGAGCATAAAATCATGTCAAGATCTGGAAACACTGCCGTTGGCTCCCATATCTCATTCATGTCATTGGCCTTTATTTATTTATTTGAGACAGGGTCTCTCTGTTGCCCAGGCTGCGGTGCAATGGCACAATCAGGGCTCACTGCAGCCTCGACCTGGGCTCAAGTGATTCTCCTACCTTTGCCTCTCCGGTAGCTGAGACTACTGGTGTGTGCCACTAATTTTTTACTTTTTTTTAGAGATGGGGTCTCGCTATGTTGCCCAGTCTGGTCTGGAACTCCTGGGCTCAAGCAGTCTTTCTGCCTTAGCCTTCCAAAGTGCTGAGATTCCAAGTGTGAGCCACTGTGCCCAGCCCATGTCACTGGCCTTTATATGTCAGGTGTCTGTTGGCTTTTGAGCTGGCTGTGACTGGCCTCAGCTGAATCTCTGTTGCCTTGCTGTGGACTGGTCTTCATGGACCACACCTCTAGCCAGTGTGGGAGTGTGGATGACGCCTAGCGTGCCTCTCCCCACTTCAGGGAAAGGTTCCAAGTCTCAGTAATGTCACTAATCTGGAAAGCTTCTCTGCCTGACTGTACCTATCATCCTGGGGGCAGGAATCATGTTCATCTAATATTCTTGGAGCTAGCACATGGTACTTAATAAGTCCTGTAAAATGCTAACACACTGATGCTGGAGAAACTAAGACAAAATGGCTTGCCTGGGTGGAGAGGGAGGTCTTCCAGGAGTGGGGATGTGTCTGAGTTACTGGAATGGATTCAAGAAGAGGTACCATTTTCTGTTTTGTGTGTGTGTGTGTGTGTTTTAGATGGAGTCTCACTCTGTTGCCCAGGCTGGAGTGCAGCGGCACGATCTTGGCTCACTGCAACCTCTGCCTCCCGGGTTCAAGCGATTCTTCCGCCTCAGCCTCCAGAGTAGCTGGGATTACAGGTGCCCACCACCACGCCCAGCTAATTTTTGTATTTTTAGTAGAGAAGGGGTTTACCATGTTGGCCAGTTTGGTGCTCTAACTCCTGACCTCAAGTGATCCAGATATGCCTGCCTTGGCCTCCCAGAGTGCTGAGATTACAGGTGTGAGCCACCACGCGTGGCCAAGGTCCATTTTTCAAAGATAGCTCAGACTTAGAATATGTGAGACTGTTGGCAGACCAAAAAGCCTAAGGCTTGATTCAGAAAATTTAACTCTGGTAACTGTGTATCTTCCTCACCAATACTTTATGCTGAGGCAGGGAAGCTTCATGGAAAGGGACATGAATTTTGGAGTCAGGCCGACTTTCACATCACTTTCTCCATCTCGCATTTGCCAGTTGTGTGACCTTAGGCCGATCCCATTACCTTCTGAGCCTTGGTTTCCTCATCTGTAAAATGGGAAGAATAATAGCATCTGTGCTGGAGGAGCACTATGTATAAAGCAGCTGGCGCAGATTCAGCCCCCTCTACATGTGAGTGGCTTGGAGAATAAATTCTGTTTTATCTCTGTAGTGAGCTCCTAGCATGCTATAATCTACTCCAGTGCAGTACAAGGATGTACTGGTGTTCAGAACATGGTGAGTGACAGCCTATGATATGTGTTGTTCTTATTTGGTGTAAAATTGAGTCCATAGGCTGGGTGTGGTGGCTCACACCTGTAATCCCAGCACTTTGGGGGACCGAGGTGGGTAGAGCACTTGAGATCAGGAGTTCAAGACCAGCCTGGCCAACATGGCGAAATCTCGCCTCTATTTTAAAAAAATATGTACAAAAATTAGCCAGGCATTGTGGCACACACCTGTAGTCCCAGCTACTCGGGAGGCTGAGGTGGGAGGATCGCTTGAGCCCAGGAGGTCAAGTCTGCAGTGAGCTATGATTGTGCCACTGCACTCCAGCCCAGACAACAGGCTGTTTTTAAAAACCCTGTCTTTAAAAAAAAAAAAAAACGAAGAAGAAGTTTAGTCCATGGGCCCATCTTTATAGTATGGCCCATCTTTATGGTAAGCCTTTTGCTTAAGGCAGTTGCTAATCTGCTTTAATCCTGCCTTCCCCAATCTGGGACTCACCAAGGGCCTACTTAGGCCACTCTGACAGGGCTGGGAGAACCACTAGATCAGGGCTTCCCAGCCCGGGCAACACTGGCCTTCAGGTCCCAGAAAGATGCAAACCGCCATGCCTATTTTGCCCATTACTGTATCCCAGCACCTGGCCATGGTGACATTCACTAACTGGTGAATGAATGAATGAATGTAGGGGAGGCCTCAGGAAATTTGTGAACACCCAGTAATCAAGCTAATAACATGGCTGATTTCATCCTCCTCTTCTACTTTCCCCTACTTGGGACAGAAAACATAGTTTGGATCCAATTCTCAAAAGATCTGTGAGCCAAAAGGGTCTGTGTTCTGGAAACATAGCCAGAGCCAGACACGACATTAGAGACATCTAACCCATCTCCGTCATTGTACAGATGGAGAACCTGGGGCCCAGAGATAGCTGCTGAGGGTTAAGATGAGGCGAGCTTAAATGCCAGGGGATAGTAGGAGTGTCTGAGTATCTCAGGCAGGGTGAAAATGGGTGGTCTTCTAGCTGAATTTGGCTTGCAGTTGAGTTCTGTTTGACCTGCGTGGTTTTCTCCCAACACTTAAAAGTCAGGCATTTTAGCCAGGCGTGGTGGCATGTTCCTGTAGTGCCCATTACTCAGGAAGCTGGGGCAGGAGGATCACTTGAGCCCAGCAGTTCGAGACCAGCCTGGGCAACAAAGTGAGATCCCATAAAAAAAAAAAAATCAGTCATTTTCAGGTAGAAGCCTGTATTTCCAATTTTTCTTGAAAAATGAAAAGATCTAACAATGTATTCTAACACATGTATTCCCATGTGGCAGAAACAGGCTGGAGATGAATGTCAGAAACCCCTTTAGAAAGCACAAAAACACTACAGTGTCCCCAGCCCCTCCTGGGTACCTTTAGTGGGTCCAGTGCATTTCAGTTCATGACCCCTGATTTCAGGGAGCCCCCTATGCTCTTCCCTTGATGCATAGACACCCACACACGCATCCTATTTTAAATACATGAGCTCATACTGTTCATGCTGTTTTGTAACCTGCTTTTTCCTCACTAAAAATAGGTGGTTGAGATCTTCCCATGTCAACACGCAAAGGTTTTCCTCATCCTTTTTAATGGCTGCATGATGTTCTGTTGCTTGGATGAACCAGGATTTCCTTATATGGTCACTTCCTTGGGAACATTTGCATTGTTTCCTGTTTTCTGGTAGGGTAAACAAGGTTGTTAGGCACTTTTTTTGTTGTTTTAGAAACAGGGTCTTTCTGTGTCACCCAGGCTGATGTGCAGTGGCATGATCATAGCCCACTATAACTTAAACTCCTGAGCTTATGTGATCTTCCTACCTCAGCCTCCTGAGTAGCTGGGACTATAGACATGCACCACCACAATTGGCTAATTAAAAATTTTTTGTGGCCGGGCGCAGTGGCTCAGGCCTGTAATCCCAGCACTTTGGGAGGCCAAGGCAGGTGGATCACCTGAGGTCAGGAGTTCGAGACCAGCCTGGCCAACATAGTGAAACCCCATCTCTACTAAAAATACAAAAAAAATAGCGGGGCATGGTGGTGCATGCCTGTAATCCCAGCTACTTGGGAGGCTGAGGCCGGAGAATAGCTTGAACCAAGGTGGCGGAGGTTGCAGTGAGCCAAGATTACGCTATTGCACTCCAGCCTGGGCAATAATTGCGAAACTCCATCTCAAAAAAAAAAAAAAAAGTTTTTTTTTGTATATGTGTAGATGGAGTCTCATTATGTGGCCCAGGCTGGTCTGGAACTCCTGGGCTCAAGTGATCCTCCCATTTTGGCCTCCCAAAGTGCTGGGATTACAGGTGTGAGCCACTGTGCCCGGCAGGGGACATTCATATTTGGACAACTTTGCAAACAAAAAGTGAAGTTCCTGAAAGTGAAATTGTTAGGTCAAAGAATGTGCATAGTATAACATGTGGGACATGGGACATGGGCAACATTATCTTACAGGCCACAGTTTGCCTTAAGAAGAGTCTGTATTTTTTGTTTGTTTGTTTTGGCGTTGATTCTGTGCTGAGCTGAGCTACTACCCAACTCTCACTGCTTACCCTTCTGAAAGTCAAGCGAGTTGGGCTTCCAAGGCCCACCTGCCGTAAGTTCCTAGTGGGTAGGAGCTCAGGTCTCTCTCCATAGACTTTAAGTAATCACTATCTAGTAGCTGATAGCATTGATAACTGTTCACTGATAGAAGAGAGCTGGGCCAAGGAGAGCAAATACTTCTTCCAGAGGCTGCCAAATGGCCTCTTCCTTCCTCACACATCACAACCTAGCCATCTTTTCAGCTTCCTTTCCACAGTCTCCTGTGCACTCAGCTTCCTACCTGGCCGACATGAACTATACAGATGGAGATTTAAGGGATAACATGGACCGGAGCAATCTTCTTTTCAAGAGGATTCTGCATGGAGAGCTTCTCCTCCAAGTCTTTTTTTTTTTTTTTTTTTGAGACAGGGTCTTGCTATATTGTCCAGGTTGGCCTCAAACTCCTGGGCTCAAGCAATCCTCCTGCCTCAGCCACCTGAGTAGCAGGGATTAGGGACACATGCCACCATGCCCAGTCCTTCCTTCAAGTCTTAGGGACTAGGATGATTGGTACCATTGAAACTCCTTGGTCAAAATCAACCTGCTGAAACCAAAGACAGAAGATGCGAGAAACTGCTTTTTTTTTTTTTTTTTTGAGATGGAATCTTGCTCTCTCTCCCAGGCTGGAGTGCAATGGTACCACCTCAGTTCACTGCAACCTCTGCCTCCCGGGTTTAAGTGATTCTCCTGTCTCAGCCTCCTGACTAGCTGGGATTACAGGTGTGCGCCACCGCACCTGGCTAATTTTTGTATTTTTAGTAGAGATGGGGTTTTACCATGTTGGCCAGGCTGGTCTCAAACTCCTGACCTCAAGTGATCCACCTGCCTCGGCCACCCAAATTGCTGGGATTACAGGCGTGAGCCACCACACCCAGCCTGTCATCTTTATTCGTTTGCCACTTATTTACTCTCCCTCAGTAGATAATGAATTGAGCGCCTAGTATACGCTGGGCGTTGTGCTGGGCTCTGGGAACCTAATGGTAGGAAAAGAACAAAAAAGAGACATGGCGTATACAAATGACCAGAAAATACTCTGGGAGGCTACACAACCAGCCGGTAATACTGGCTGCCTCTGGGAAAGGGAGTGGGGCTTAAGGGTTGGGTTGAAGGGGCTTTCCTTTTATTTTTATATTCTTCTTTGCTGTTTGAATTTGTAACTTATCACTTGTGCAAATAGCAAGGGCAAAAAAGGTATTTTTTAAATTTTATTTATTTATTTACTTATTGAGACAGGGTCTGGCTCTGTTGCCCAGGATGGAGTGCAGAGGCATGATCTCAGCTCACTGCAACCTCCACTTCCCGGGTTCTAGAGATTCTCGTGCCTCAGCCTCCTGAGTAGCGAAGATTACAGGTGTGCACCACCACACCTGGCTAATTTTTGTATGTTTAGTAGAGATGAGGTTTTGCCATGTTGCCCAGGCTGGTCTCGAACTTCTGGCCTCCTTGGCCTCCCAAAGTGCTGGAATTACAGGCAAGAGCCACCACACCCGGCCAAGGTTTTTTTTTAATTAAAAATTGGGGCCTCTTAGGAGGGAATCCAAGAGTCCTAATTCTTTGCTGACATCAGAAAAAGGGAATAAGCCTCTTGCCCCATCTAATGCTGCACTGGGGTTTACGGTTTTCAGCTTTCACCTTCCATACCCAAAGCGGCACAACATCACTGCAGCCCACGGAGGCAGGACCTTGTGGGTTCAAGTTCTCCCTCTCTGCCCGCCTCCCCCCTCACACGGTGGATGAAAAATGGAAACAGGGACATTTTTTCAAAGGTATTTCATGAATCACTTCAGCCACGAGTTTTGGCTGTGAGTTAGCATCTGAGAAAATTCTTTACGAGCCAAGTTTAAGGGAACACATCCCAAGGGTGGGGCAGTGGCTCACAGGGGTTGATGGACTTGATGTTTTAAAAATAGTTTTAAATTGCACGATTACTACTGCTGCTTGGAAAAAAGAAAGAAAGAAACCCTATATATATAAAATATAGCCCATAGCAGCCTCAAACTCCTGGGCTTATGCAATCCTCTCTCCTCAGTCTCCTGAAGTGCTGGGATTACAGGCGTGAGCCATAGCACCTGGCCTCAATTCCTACAACTTTCTGATACAGTTCCCTGCTCATCACGCTTCCCTGTTTGTGCCATGCTTATCACTGTCCTTGGTCTTGTTTGGGCCCTTCCCCCACCTAAGCCACGCTTCCTTTTTCCAAATATGGAAAAAATATGTGTGTGTGTTCTAGGTCCTGATCAAATCCTGGGTCCGCGCTGAAGCTTCCCTGGTAATTGTAACCCCATTCTGACTTCTAGGCTATTGGTTCACCTCCAGATATTGGTCATTTACAGTACTGGTCTCTGGCATGGCATATCCTTCCAGTAAGCCTGGAGGCAAATTTAAAGCAGGCACCTGGCCTTATCTGGTGCGGATAACCATGCTTAGCACGATGTCCACACACTCAATAGCATAATAGGTACTTAATAAGTGTTCCTGTCTCTCCTTCCATCCCACCTGTGCTTAAGGCAGCATAATTATTTTAGGCTAATGCTGCAGGGTTACACTGACTTTCATTCTGTAGGTTTATGGCTAGACACCAACAGAGATGTTTAGGGGTTACAAAAGCTGGTTTCATAAACTAAATTTAGAATGTATTTATCAATTGAGTTGATTGATGACTAATTCCATATTCTATGAAAATATATGGTGGCTACATAACAATGCAGAGTTCCTACTGTGTTTGTGCCCTCGTGAGATAGAAGGGGAATTGGCCTGGTGTGGTGGCGCACACCTGTAATCCTAGCACTTTGGGAGGCCAATGCGGGACGATTGCTTGAGGCCAGGAGTTTGAGACCAGCCTAGGCAACATAGAAAGACCCTGTCTCTAAAAGAAAAAATAAAAATAATAAATTAGCCAGATGTGGTGGTGCATGCCGATAGTCCCAGCTAGAGGCTGAGGTGGGAGGATCGCTTGAGCTCAGGAGGTCGAGGGTGCAGTGAGCTATGATGGCGCCACTGCACTCCTGCCTGGGTGGCAGAGCGAGACCCAGTTTCTTTAAAAAAAAAAAAAAAAGCAAAAGGTTTGAAGTCACTGATTTGGATCCTTGTGACTGTCAGCTGACATAGACTATGGGGTCCATGTGTTTATGACTCATATCTTTCATGCAGTCAGATGTATCCATTAGGGCCCGAGTAAGAGGCAGAAAGTGTTTCCAAACTCAGTAATCAGAGGAGAATTTAGGACAGCTTCAACAGCAAAGGCGTGGGCAGGGTTTGGGAAACCAGCGAGAGTGAATGCAGTACCCAGGCTTGGCCATAGAGGGGAGCTATTCCCACCCTGGCCTGAAGGTGCCAGGGTAAGGAATGGGACCTGGAGTCTCCAGGAGGGTGTCACTGTACCAGAGTCCAGACAGCGGCTGTGGCCAACCTCTGACCAGTGGGAGGGGAGCTGGGGAACAAACACCTGATCTTACTTTCCCATTAGTGCCTCCTGTTGGCCAAACCCAGAAGGAAGCCAGAAGTCAAGGGTACCAGCTGCTACAGTTCATGCAAGTCAACATCTCAGACTTTTTCAAACCCAGAAGCCATAAAGTGATCTCCCTTCCACTTTCTCTCCTATATCACTTGGTGTGTATTACCCACATGCTCGTTCATATGCCACCTGCTTTAGAATAACGGGTGATACGTTCTTATCTCCCCCGCTAACTTATAGCCACCTTATCTGTCCTTTTAAGTCTGGGCACGGTGGCTCATGCCTGTAATCACAGCACTTTGGGAGGCTGAGGTGGGTGGATCACTTGAAGATAGGAGTTCAAGACCAGTCTGGCCAACATGGCAAAACTCAGTCTCTACTAAAAATACAAAAATTTAGCCGGGCATGATGGCATGCACCTGTAGTCCCAGCTACTTGGGAGGCTGAGGCAGGAGGCAGAGGTTGCTTGAACCCAGGAGGCAGAGGTTGCAGTGAGCTGAGATCGTACCACTGCACTCCAGCCTGGGCAACAGAACGAGACCTTGTCTCAAAAACAAACAAACAAACAAACAAACAAACAAACAAACAAAAAACCCTACCTTTTTAAGGTGTACAAGTCAATGATGAGGAGTATACATAGAATTTTGCAGCCATCTTCACAGTCAACTTTGGAAAATTTTCGTTTCCCTGAAAGAAACCCCATGCGCATGAGTATCACTCCCCAATTCCTCCTATCCGCCCCGGCCCTAGGCAACCACCATTCTCCTTTCTGTCCCAGAAGATCTGCCTGTTGTGGACATTTCATATAAATGGAATCACACAATATGTGTCCTTTTGTGTCTGGCTTCTTTGACTTAGCATGATGCCTTCAAGGTTCATCCATCTTCACGTATCAATACTTCATTCCTTTTTGATGGCTGACTAATAGTCCATTGTATGGAAAGACCACATTTTGTTTATTCATCAGTTGATGGACATTTGGGTTGTTTCCGTATTTTGCTATTATGGATAATTCTGCCATGAGCATTTGTGCACACATTTTGTGCATTCTGTGGTGGATGCTCCTGGGTATGGGCTGTTTTTTCTGCCCTGCCTAGGATGCCTCATTTTCTTATCCTGGTTAGTTTCCTGGCACTCTTCAATAGTCAGCAGGGGCCTGCCACTCTCTCTGAGGAGTCTGCTTTGTCTCCCTTATGAGCTGCCTCCCCTGGGCTCCTATAGACCACGTTTCCCCAGACTGCATGTGCTCTTTACATGGGACTGTCATTATCCACTTCTTCCCATCTCCCTGTTGGTTCTGAGCCCCTCAAGGGGCAAGAATTACGTCATTGAACCTGTAGCCCCTAGTATGGCACTTGGCATACTTGGGAATAAGTGAATGGATGAATGAACGAACAAACAAACAAAAGAGAACAGAGACTGCCCTACAACTCTCTCTTGAATCTGGGTCTATGAAATGAATCGAGGAAGGTCCTGTTCTGAATTTGGAGAAGCAAAAAGTTCATGTGTCTCTAGATTCTTCTTTTTAAAAACATCTCTGAAGATGCCTATGTAAATATCTAGGTCTAAAAGCAGAGAGGGGAGTGTGTGTGCACGCACAAATGTCTATTTGGGGAAGGCTGCTACATAGACAGAGATTCTGGTAAGGGGAAGAGTGCCAAGACTAGCTTTTGAGGCATCCTTCCTCCAAAACCAGAGCTTTGCATCCAGTAGCTCTCCCCTCCCTCCTCCCCCTCCCGACATCCGGGGCTGAGCGTGCAGAGGCCCACTGCACTGACGTCACCCCCAGCAGCTGTCTGCACTGACCAAAATACCAATCTTTATTTCTGCAGGTTGGTGAAAACCCTGTGTCCTTGGAGAAAGCTGGTTCCCGTTTTCCAGAGGGGGAGCCCAGAGCTTGAAAGGCCGCGGTTGGCACTTCGAGAAGGAAGTGGAGAGTAAAGACAGCGCCTGGAGCGATCGTAGAAACACAGAATGGGACTGGGGAAGCCCTTTGGAAATCCAGCTGCAGAAACAGACACCCCAATGCTATTTACATACAGCTCTATATATATAAAAAAAGAAAATATGAATATTACGTATCAGTGCATGCCTTGTTGAGGACGTGGTTGCCTTCCTTTTCTGCACCTTGCGATGTGAACTTTGATATTCTGTAATGTCTGGGGCGCCAGAAGAGAGATGCCTGCTGTGTACTTAGAAACTATTTGCAAAGACTGGTGGGAATTAGCCCCAGCATCGGCCAACTGCCTGGGGATAGATGCTGGTGGAATAAGAGGTAACAGTGCAAAAGGCATGATAGAAAAAAAAAGTGAGGACTTGGGACCGATTGTGTAGGGGCAGTCTGGGATGCCTCCATTTCTTGACTCGTCCTAGCCTCTCCCTCTGTACTTACCTAGGTCGATCGCTAGATCCCACTGTCACGTCAAGAGAAATGGGATTTTTGTGTCTCTGGTGCTTCACTTAAAATTTTGCTGGTGCTAAGTGCGTTCCTGCTGGTGCTGCTGTGGTATTCTGTTGACAGACTTGGAAGGCCAGGGGACAAGAGAGATTTCTATTTTGCTGTTTCAGATTCTTTTTTTTTTTTTTTTAAGGGACAAGTTGCAAAAGTGCCACTTGAGAGTCTCTTCTCTTCTTCTACCTGGGGACGAATATCCAGAGGTGGTTTGGAGCAAACCTTGGGGTCTAGGAGGGAGGATGGCATTGAGAGGCTTGCTGGTTATGAGGCAGAAAGCTGACCTCATGCATGACTTGGTTGCTATCTCCCCCACCCCCACAAAAGTGTCCTCGGAGTTCAGCCCACAGCCTCCTCCACTCCCCAAGGGGATTTCAGGGTTTAGGTTTTATGGATTAAAGAGCCAAGAAATGGCTACATTCTGTTCAAAGATGATTTATAACCGGGGGATGTTGTGGGAGGGAGTGGGCCATTTAAATGAAATGCACCAGCATCTCACTGATTGACAGAGGTCTGATTTTTTTCCCCCCAAGGATAAGCTACTATTTTCAGAAGTTTCTAGAAGGGCTAAAAAAAGATGTGTGCTGGACGGAGACTTGGCTGCAAAGACTCTTCAGGGAGCAGTGATTATTTTTTGCTTTCATTTTCGAAAAATCCAACATAAGCAGGTATTCTTCCTCTGTGCAGGATACCACACACTGCCATTTTCAAAGCCGAGGTGGCGAGGTGTCAGGCTGCAGATTCGGACGGTCATTCTCCAAGGCTGGATTTGCAGGTCACCACCCGGTACCTATAGACAGAGGGTCCAGCAGGCTGGTTAGCAGACACCGCTCCAGTTCTAAGACGCCAGCAGTGGGATCCATGTTTAAGGTGGATGCGGCTGAAATGGGAATTATCCCCCCACAGGCTTTGCTGTACAGTTCTAAGAAGCCAGCAGTGGGATCCACATTTGTTAAGGTGGATGCGGCTGAAATGGGAATTATCCCTCCATAGGCTTTGCTGTAAATGACCAGGTCCTTTAGAATGTACAACCTCTCAGTGCTGCTGCAAGCTGGGAGCTGGATTTCTTTCTGTCTTCCTTTTAAAATCCGTTCCTTGTGTTTTCCTAAATAGCCCTTTAAAGAGAAATGCAACCCCAGGGCTGCTGAATGCCAGGGAAGACTCCCCCACCCCGCAGCTTTGAACTCAGCAAACCAAAAAAAAAAAAAGAAGAATAATGCTTATTTTGGGAGAACGTGTTTCTCCTCATTACTCGTGCCCTCCCCCTAGCTGATGTTTGCAGGGGACCCTCGCTTAGCTGGGGACTGCAGAGAGCAGTGGGTAATATTCCCACAAAGCTACGAACTTAGAGAAGGCAAATTCATTAGAATAATATGAAATACAGTCACTGCTTCTATTTAATCACTTTCTTAGCCACAGACTAGGGTCTTTCCAGCTCCCCCCATTTTCTGGGGAGGGGCGTCCATTACTACACAGCTGTATCCAATCACAGTTCTCTGCTTCTTTAAGGCTGTACCTTCAAGATCGTAGTGGGGGCATGCTGACCACCTGTAGACACAGGAGAAGATGAAAGGTGAGAGGATCCCTTTTTCAGCCCCGACTTGCCTACTGGCTTTTGATGTTTCCCCTGGAGGATACAAACTCCAAACGCTGGGGTTGGCATTTTGGGTGATTTTGATTTCAATGAAGCCACTTTGCTGAGAGAACTGGGGCACCCACGACCTCCTGATAGAGCTTCTCAGCCAAGTCCCTTGTAGATATTCTCCTGTTTTATTAGAGACCACGTATTTATCGAATCCTGACCTTTCCTTGCACATCATTCATTGGAGTGCACTTCTCGACTGCCCCGATTTTTGACACGGGGTTGTTTTTAATGCTTGTTTTTATATGAGATTTGACTTCTTGATGGACATTTGTATTAGGAAATTGAAGCATGATATATATGTATATATTGTCTCCACCATCTCTCCTGTTGTATTACTTGGATTGCATGAGATAGTGGGGTGGTTCTTGTTTTTTAAAAAATATTTCCACAGTGTGCAAAGTGCTGGCAACATCCCTCCCTCTCCTCCACCGCTCCCCCACTTTTCTCTGGCTGCCAAGGAGTCATTGATTTTGATTAGCTTCACTGCAGAGCGTCTGTGAAGAGAGAGAGAGAGAAAGGGAGGGAGGCTTTGAAATAAATTTTAAAAAAGACCTCATATCGGGTTTCAGCAGACAGCAGTGTGTGTGTGTGTGTGTGTGTGTGTGTGTGTGTGTGTGTGTGTGTGTGACCGTACAAGCAGAGGGAGGCCTCTGAGATCATCGTTTAGGTAGCTTGCTGCATAATGAGATGAAGAGACTTTTGCCTCTTCATTTCTGATGGTGCTGCTTGCTCTCAGAGAGTGGGGAGCCAGGAACCGCTGGGACTGGAGCCCCCGGGACTTCAACACTCCGAATGAGATCCAGTCCTTTCTGGAAGCTTCTCACCCCCACCTGATCTCCCACAAACAAATACAATCTCTTCAAATTTGGGGGTCCGTTTCCTATTCTCTTTGTTATTGGTGTAGCTTGAGTAGGAAGTTTCTCTGGGGAGCCCATTGGCCCCAATGGCTGCTGTCCATGGTCCTAGGCCGTGCGCATGTCCTAGACCCCAGTTCCTGTTTTGTTTTTTTTTGGGTTTTTTTTGGCCCTGCGCATCTCTTAGAGCCCAGTTCCTGTTTTTTTGTTCGTTTTTTTTTTTTTTTTTTAGCCGCCTTCATTTGGATACTGGGGACTTCTTTTCCACTTCTTCTTCTTCTTCTATTTTATTTTGAGACAGAGTCTCACTCTGTCACCCAGGCTGGAGTGCAGTGGTGCGAGCTCAGCTCACTGCAACCTCCACCTCCCAGGTTCAAGCGATTCTCCTGCCTCAGCCTCCTGAGTAGCTGGGATTACAGGCACCCACCACCACGCTCGGCTAATTTTTGTATTTTTAGTGGAGATGGGGTTTTACCATGTTGGCCAGAGTGGTTTTGAACTCCTGGCCTCAAGTGATCCACCTGCCTTGGCCTCCCAAAGTGCTGGGATTACAGGCATGAGCCACCGAGCTCAGCCTCCACTTCTTATTTTGATTCTTTTCTGTTTTGATGGTGAGAGGAAAGGGTGATTTACCCAATACTGTCACAGAAAAATGAAACTGTGACTGGTTTTCACAATGTATGTAGCTGATCTCATGTTCTCCTATTATTATGTTTCTGACAGTGATAAAATATCACTCTCCCTCCCTGGGGCATTAGAGGAGTCCTCACCCACCCACCTCCTACACAAGTATCTTTTAGGGACAGTGGCTCACCATTGTGGACTTTTTGAGTGTCCACCTGATATTACAAGTTGCATTGACCAGAACACAGATTTTGCTCTTCTGTGTCAATACCCATTTCTTTTCTGAAGGTCAGAAGTTGGTTAAGGGTTTGGGGGACCAGCTAGACACTCTTCTTAGTCCCATGGAGCTGACTGGAAGTTCCATGAGGGGAGGAAATTGATGTCAAAGTGTCATTTTAAAGCTTAAGCTGAAAGTTTATTTTTTAAATTCTCATTCATTCATTTAGCATATATTGATTGAGCATCTACAATGTGCCAGTTGTAGAATTCCATCTCAGAAGAGACTTGACTTGTGGATGGTGGAGGGGCAGTCCTGCTCGGAAGCAGATGATGTGAAATGTTCCTTTCCAGTCTGGTTCACGATGTTTAACAGATTTGTCAGGTCACCACTGTGACCCCAAGCTTTGCTGGCAGATTGTTATATAGTATTTACTGAGAGCCCTGCTATCTGGTAAAGGCAGTTAAAAAGCCTGCAATCTCGACTCATTTCCAGCATGAACAGACTGGTCCTTGCTGCTTTACACAATAATCAAAGCTACCTTTTATGGCGTGCTCGCCACTCCCAAGCACTGGGCGAAGTGCTTTACCCGTCTTCCCCTCCGCGATGCCTCATGCCCACTTTAGCAGATAGTACTGTTAGCATTCCCATTTTACAGTGGAGGAAGCTGAGGCTCAGAGAGGTTAAGCAACTTAGCTGAAGGCCACACCACCAGCGAAGTGCCTGAGCCAAGATTTGGACTCGAGTCCATGGGACCCCCACGCTCGTGAGCTGACTGCTCTGCTCCACTGGGTCCCTTCATGAGGTCGTCCCACAGCACTGCTAGTTCCAGGGCGAGTGCCAGCACATGGCCCCACTGGGAGCCGGGGCCTGACTTAGGTCTACTGGAAAAAGTGTCACCTTTGGGGACACTCAAGGACAGGCTGGTTGGTTTCGTTGTGGATTTTATATACTCATGCCCTAACCCTGTGTTCCTGGTTTCTATAAGGCCCCGGGGAAGGTGCAAGGAATTTGCAAATAGGGCCTGTATGACTTATTTCCTAGGACACGGGAAGCTTTTCTTACCTCCTTTCTACCCTCTTCTCCAACCTGAACTCCCAAGTTTCTTCTCCTGAAGGTCTTTGCACTATAAGCGCCAAGGAGCCCGTGTGCGTGGCAGGGGCGGCTGGGAGGGTATCTGGAGAACCTTAGTGAGGCCTCTGGCCTAGCCAGAGAGGCAATAAGCTTGGGGACGTTCCGTTCTGGGTTCTGACGTTGTTGGTTCTGACGTCGTTGTGCTCTTTTGTAAGAGGAATTTCATACCTTGGAGACGCTTTGTACATATTTGTAATGACTTTATTAAAAAACTGATTGTGCACTTCTAGCCAAAGACATTTGTGTTTTCATTTCCTTTTGGAAGGCTGGCCCTCATAGACTCTGGGAGTACCCAGCTGCATAACAGGGACAGGATCCCTGCCCCTGGCTCCTGCCTGCCCCAATGTTCCCTTGGGCAGAAGGCCAGACACTTCCTTCTCTCCTCTAATTCCTAAGATCCACCGCCCCGCCCAAACCCTGAAGGGAAGGACTGGCCTAAAGAATGCCCTTGGGTTGGGCCACAGGTTTGGGAAACTTGCCCAACAGTTCGAGGTGAGTGCACACAACCATAATTTATGCATGGTATCCTGTGGACAAGCCAATGAGGCTGCAGATTAATGTCTCCAACTGCGGACAACTCGGGTTCTAGTCTCATCCTAAGAATGGGAGTTTGAGTACACATACCTTTTTTTTTGGAGACAGAGTTTCTCCCTTGTTGCCCAGGTTGGAGTGCAGTGGCACGATATTGGTTCACTGCAACCTCTGCTTCCTGGGTTCAAGCTGTTCTCCTGCCTCAGCCTCCTGAGTAGCTGGGATTACAAGCGTGTGTCACCACGTCTGGCTAACTTTTGTATTTTTAGTAAAGACGGGGTTTCACCATGTTGGCCAGACTGGTCTCGAACTCCTGACCTCGGGTGATCCACCTGCCTCGGCCTCCCAAAGTGTTGGGATTACAGGCGTGAGCCACCGCGCCTGGCCCAGGTTGTTTTTTTAGATACCAGACCTTCTCTTTTCCTTTGAACACCCATCCCTGCCCCACTTTCAGTCTACATGACTTAGAGGGGCCGACTCCATCCTCTCACTACCTCAAGAGCTCAACAGCTGGCCCAGGCCTGGCCAGTGCTCCACATCTCACCAGCTAAAGTAATTGGTTTGGGACAAACAAATGAGAGTCAGTCTTAGGACTTTTGGTGGAGCTTTCGGGATGCAGGGGTTGTTAAGCTGCTAGAACATAAACGCAGAACTGCTGCGGGCCATCTTACCACCACATGGGTCCAGCTGCCTGAAAATCAAACTGTCTCAGAGGAAAACAGAATTGAGGGATGGCCAAGACACAATTCTCTCTCTCTCTCTCTCTTTTTTTTTTTTTTTTTACAGAGATAGGGTCTCACTCTGTCACCCAGGCTGGAATGCAGTGGTGCTATCTCAGCTCACTGCAACCTCTGCCTCCAGGTTTAAGCGATTCCTGTGCTTCAGCCTCCTGAGTAGCTGGGATTACAGGTGTGGGCCACCACGCCTGGCTAGTTGTTGTGTGTGTGTGTGTGTGTGTGTGTGTGTGTGTGTGTGTGTGTGTGTGTGTGTGTGTTTAGTAGAGAGGGGATCAGGCTGGTCTCCAACTCCTGACCTCAAGTGATCTGCCTGCTTCAGCCTCCCAAAGTGCTGGGATTACAGGCGTGAGCCACTGCGCCTGACCGAGAGACACAATTCTATATCAACACTGGGAGTCTCTGAATCCAGCTGTGCCTGAAGCCCATACAGTTACGTAAACCAAATAAAGTCTTTATTTTACTTAAGCCATATTTGAATTGGTTTTCTTTTTTTTTTTCTTTTTTGAGACAGGGTCTAGCTCTGTTGCCCAGGCTGGAGTGCAGTGGTGTGATCACGGCTCACTGCAGCCTCCACCTCCTGGGCTCAAGCGATCCTCCCACCTCGGAGTAGCTGGGACCACAGGCGCATATCACCATGCCTGGCTAATTTTTTAATTTTTTTTGTAGAGATGGGGGTCTCGCTATGTTGCCCAGGCTGTCCTCAAATTCCTGGGCTCAAGCGATCCTCCCACTTTGGCCTTCCAAAATGCTGTGATTACAGGAGTGAGCCACCACGCCCAGCCTTGATGGCAACCCAAAAGTTTGGCCTGATGCGATGTTTTCATGGCTGGTGTCATAATGTTGCCCTGAGAGGCATGTACTGTCACCTCGTGCTATTAATCTACATTTAAATATCTATCATAATCTGGCGCCCTGGAAAACCCTTCTTGAATCAGCCTATACATTTTTGGTCCGCAAAACCTCCAGTTAGCCCCTGTAGTGGGCACTGTAAGTGCCCCACAGAGGCCCTTTCTGATCCCTTTTGCCAGATTCCTATC